>NC_000001.11:240729576-240881091 GCF_000001405.40 Homo sapiens
CAGCATGTGGTGGATTAAGAAGCCCCTTCCGGCCGGGCACGGCGGCTCACGCCTGTAATCTCAGCACTTTGGGAGGCTGAGACGGGCGGATCGAGGTCAGGAGTTCGAGACCATCCTGGCTAACACGGTGAAACCCCGTCTCTACTAAAAATACAAAAAGTTAGCCGGGCGCGGTGGCGGGCGCCTGTAGTCCCAGCTACTCGGGAGGCTGAGGCAGGAGGATGGCGTGACCCCGGGAGGCGGAGCTTGCGGTGAGCTGAGATCGCGCCACTGCACTCGAGCCTGGGCGACACGGCGAGACTCCGTCTCAAAAAAAAAAAAAAAGAAGCCGCTTCCTATTGGTATTAAACTTGGCCGACACTGCTTGTTGACCACATGCCTGGGCTTCCAAACTTAGCATATCCGGTTACCCAGCTCTTTTAGCACATAGATTTCAGCTTTGTCTACAATGTACCACCCTGAGAGTCAGGTGGCCCCCTGGAACCAAGAATCCAGCTCTTGAGTGAAGCAACATCCAGGCTTTAGACAAGAGAGGAAATCTGATCCCGGGCCTGCCCATTTCCTGCTCGACAGTTCTTTTAAGGACAAGCGGTCCATTGTTTAATGGCCAATGACTGTTGTAAGCAGTGAGAGCATGCCAGCTTTATGAATTTCTGTGTACCCACCTGCCCCCCAGCACCTCATTCATGTACATCACCATCCACTTTCTTCCTTGTTTTCATGCATAGGAATATTTTCTTTCTTTTTTTTTTTTTTTTTTTTTTTTGAGACAAAGTCTCATTCTGTCGCCCAGGCTGGAGTGTGGTTACGCGGTCTCGGCTGACTGCAACCTCTGCCTCCCAGGTTCAAGTGATTCTCCTGCCTCAGCCTCCCGAGTAGCTGGAAATTACAGGTGCATGTCACCACGCCTGGCTAATTTTTGTGTTTTTAGTAGAGACAGGGTTTCACCATGCTGGTCAGGCTGGTCTCGAACTCCTGACCTCATGATCCACCTGCCTCGGCCTACCAAAGTGTTGGGATTACGGGCGTGAGCCACTGTGCCCAGCTGGAACATTTTCTAGGTCACTTGCTTGGTGTGTTTTTGGATCACGTTGCCCCTAGAACCCTTATTCTAGCTCGATTATAGTAGGGGTGTCTGACACAGACAGGGGATCTGGGAGCTCTGGGTAAGTGCCTTGTCATCTGGAGGATTCAGAGGAGTTCTTCCAGAAATTATGAGGTACAAACTGAATAATGTCCTAAGATATTTAGAGTGACACAAAACTTAGCCTACAAAGCAATGTAAAGTCCAGGAACGGTTATTGCCTGGGCCCTCTAATCTCTAAATTTAAAAATCTTTGAGCAGGTCACTGAATTTCTGAAGGCGGGGTTTAGGTTGGAAAGACACCTAAAACACTGTCCTTGGTTGAAAGGCTTCTGCAAGAGTGAAAGTTTGGCGGTGCTTCAAGCTATCCACGTCTATTGGGAATTTGTTCTCTGTCCAGAAAATGGGGATATGGAGGGAGTAAAAATCTCTTTGATTGCCCTTTCTGGTCTAATATAGTCTCCAGATGGAAATTACAACATTCTAAAGGAAAAACGAAAGCAAACATGAAACAGGATCAAAGAGAATCCAATATGATTCACACACACACACCAATTGAATAGCAGAAACACTCAAGAACTCTGTATGATGCTTTTAAAAACTTGTCTTCAATGTATGGATGAATATGATGCCATAATAATTTGTCAATTCAGAGAGGATAAATTGCTTTTGCTCTCTTCCTCTGCCTGTTGAATAACAGAGACAATATGGCGTGGTGGCCTAGTTGGAATGTAAAAGATCTAGGATCGGCCGGGCACTGTGGCTTACACCTGTAATCCTAGCACTTTGGGAGGCCAAGGCAGGGGGATTGCTTGAGCCCAGGAGTTCAAGGCCAGCCTGGGCAACATGGCGAAACCCTGTCTCTACAAAATATTAGCTAGGCACGGTGGTGTGCCCCTGTGGCCCCAGCTACATGGAAGACTGAGGTGGAAATATCACTTGAGCCCAGGAAGTCGAGACTGCAGTGAGCTTTGATTGTACCACTGCCCTCCAGCCTGGGTAACAGAGTAAGACCCTGACTCACATTAAAACAAACAAACAAATGGATCTAAGATAGTGATTTAGCTCTACTAAGTCTTGTTTGTAAGAATTTGGGCAACTCAGCAAGTCACCTTGCTCCTCAGTTTCATCATTGATGACGTGGGAATTATAATACTTTTCAGTTTCTGGAAAGACAGCAATGTATGAAACATTTAGTGTAAGACTCATCATATAGTATCATGTCAAATAGCTATTATTGTGATTATTATTAAGAAACATGCAAATATGCACTGCCTCAGGCTCATTCTTTTTATTTATTTATATTTTTTATTTTATTTTTTTTTTGAGATGGAGTCTCGCTCTGTTGCCAGGCTGGAGTGCAGTGTGGCACGATCTTGGATCACTGAAACGTCTGCCTCCCGGGTTCAAGTGATTCTCCTACCTCAGCCTCCCGAGTAGCTGGGACTACAAGTGCACGCCACCATGCCCAGCTAATTTTTTTTTTTTTTTCGATCTCTTGACCTAGTGATCCGCCCACCTCAGCCTCCCAAAGTGCTGGGATTACAGGCGTGAGCCACTACGCCCTGCCTCATTCTTTTTTCTCTGTCTCCCTTTCCTTTGTGAAGTGATTACTCGGAACTCCCGGCTCTTGGTCTACTTCAATTACTTTATCTTAGGTGTAACAAACATCGGAGTGGCTTGCATAATAATTTCCATTCTTCCCTTTTTAACCCAGTCTCACTGACTCCGACAGTCAGAAGTACACTTCCAATATCTACACAATACTTCCATCACAATTAACTTGAATAAGGGTCGATCTGTCTCCTCTAGCTACCTTAGATACACCGGTTGACCACTAGATGTCAGACTTGTTAAATAGTTAGGAATGTGTTACATCCTCACCCTTAGGACTTGAAAACCACTTTTTTTTTCTTTTTTCTTTTTTTTCTTTTTTGAGACAGGGTCTCACTCTGCTGCCCAGGCTAGAGTGCAGCGATGCAATCACAGCTCACTGCAGCCTCGACCTCCTTGAGCTTAGGTGATCCTCCCACCTCAGCCTCCCAAGTAGCTGGCACTATAGGCACATGCCACCATGCCTGGTTAATTGTTGTATTTTTTTGTAGAGATGGGGTCTCACTATGTTGCTCAGGCTGGGCTCAAGCATTCCCCCTACCTCTACCTCCCATAGTGCTGGGACTACAGGTGTGAACCACCTTTCTTGCTTTCTCTCTTCTTTGTAAGAAGCTTTCAGTGACTTTGGCAATGGTTCACCAGGGTCACATTACCACTGGTTTAGAATGTGCTAACATGTGGATCAACTTTGTCTGGGAGTCTGTGATTCATACCAATATAATTTGTTTTGTTCAAAGATACATTTTTAAATTGTATTTTTTATTGATACATAATATATGTATATATTTTGGGGCTACATGTGATATTTTAATACATCCACATAATGTGTAATGATCAAGTCAGAGTAGTTGAGATACCCGTCACCTTAAATATTCAGAGAGAACATTTGAAGGATAGATTGTGCGGTCTTTGCACCCATGTGATGGAACTGTGGGTACACACTTCTCTGTGGATTCAGATTATATTGAGGAATAAAGACAACTGTTAAGTCCTGAGGAAATCAAGTGATGACAAGAGAAACCAGGCTTAGAGAGTGGTCCAATAAGAGTGACGATCCGAGGCTACATCTAAAAGAAAACACTTACTAAGATTTTTTAAAAAGTCACCTAACTTTGCTGTAATCCCAGCAAACTTTGGGAGGCCAAGGCAGGCAGATCACTTGAGGTCAGGAGTTTGAGACCAGCCTGGCCAACATGGTGAAAACCTGTCTCTACTAAAAAAAAAAAAGAAAAAATACAAAAATTAACCAGGCATGGGGGCGGGTGCCTGTAATCCCAGCTACTCGGGAGGCTGAGGCAGTAGGATCGCTTGAACCCAGGAGGTGGAGGTTGCAATGGGCCTAGATCGCGCCACTGCACTCCTGCCTGGGCAACAGTCAGACTCCATCTCAAAAAAAAAAAAAAAAAGTCACCTAACTTTGTGTCTTAGACATCAAGGCTCTTGGAATAAAAGGTCTCTTTTCCTTTAATTGCACGGGGACTCTGAAGCTGGGCAGTAGGGATGTAAATTTGGAATTCTTAATCTGGTTCAAGAATCGGGTCTCAAAGTATTACTTACATAATTGCCTATGCTTAGCGACTTCAGTACCTAGTTCAGAAAATCATTTAAATATGGACCCCCTCCACCAGTAACACGGAGACTAGCCTTATTAAGAGGATGGTATCTTCAGTTTCCCATTTGCTTAAACGATGGCACTTCAATGCTGACGCCCTATGAATTTGAGCAATTTAAATAAATTGCAATATTCTACCAAATTAATCAAATTACTGCATGTAGAACATTGTTACTATTTGTTTGCCATCTGAATTGGTTCATTTTATGTGTCAACTGACTGGGCCAGGAGATGCCCAGGTAAAACGTCATTCTGGATGTGTCTGTGAGGATGTTTTGGATGAGATTAACATTTAAATTGGCAGACTCAGTGAAGCAGATTGCTCTCCCTGATGCGAGAGGACCTCATCCAGTCAGTTGAAGGTCTGAGTAGAACAGAATTGCTGGTCATCCCCTGAGTGAGAGGGAATTCTTCCTGCCTGACGGCTATTGAACTGGGACATCAACTTTCTTCTTGTGGCTTGGGAATGAAACTGAAAACATCCATTCTTCCTGGAGTCTTGAGTCTTTGAGCTGGAATTTTATCATCAGCTTTTCTGATTCTCAAGTGTTCAGACTCAGACTGGAACTATACTATTGGTTTTTCTGGTCTCCAGCTGGCTGACTCACCCTGCAGATCTTAGGACTTGTCAGCCTCTGTAATCATGTGAACAAATTCTTTTTTTTAAATTATTTCTTTAATTTTTTATTTCCAAAGGTTATTGGGGAACAGGTGGTGTTTGGTTACATAAGTTCTTTAGTGGTGATTTATGAGATTTTGGTGTACCCATCACCTGAGCAGTATACACTGCACCCAATTTGTAGTCTTTTATCTCTCACCCCCTTCCCACCATTTCCTCCTGAGTTCCCAAAGCCCACTGTGTCATTCTTATGCCTTTGCATCCTCATAGCTTAGCTCCCACTTATGAGTGAGAACATATGATGTTTGGTTTTCCATTCCCGAGTTACTTCACTTGGAATCATAATCTCCAGTCTCAACTAGGTTGCTGCAAATGCCATTAATTAATTCCTTTTTATGGCTGAGTAGTATTCCACCGTGTATACATACCACAGTTTCTTTATCCACGCATTGATTGATGGGCATTTGGGTTGGTTCCATTATTTTGCAGTTGCAAATTGTGCTGCTATAAACATGCATGTGCAAGTATACTTTTTCATATAATGACTTATTTTCCTCTGGGTAGATACCCAGTAGTGGGATTGCTGGATCCAATGGTAGTTCTACTTTTAGTTCTTTAAGGAATCTCCATGCTGTTTTCCATAGTGGTACTAGTTTACATTCCCACCAGCAGTGTAGAAGTCATGGGAACAAATTCTTTAAAATAAATTTCTTTATAGATGCACATTCCTATTGGTTCTGGTTTTTTGTTTTCCCTGGAGGGGCCTGACTAATAATACACCATCTGGCATTTACTTTTTCTTCTTAACAGTAACCTAGTCTCTTTTTTGGAAATTACCTCACCCATAATACATGCAGTCAATCACAGTGGGACTTCAGGTGCCTGCAATCCTATTACCAAGACTAAACTGGATGCTTTTTTCATTAGATAATTGTAAAGGTAAAAACGTTAACAAGATGAAAAATAATACCTACAAAACCCTGACTCTGGGCCAGGCACTGTTCTGTATTATTTGTATTCACTCTTTTAATCACACAGCAACCATTATGCTCATTTTTTAAAAAGTGAAACTGAGACACAGGAAGTGAAATGCTAATGGTGGGGCCAGGATTTGAGCCGTAAACATTCTGACTGCAGAGATTGTGAAGAACCAAATAAGAGTCTTGGATTTTTACCCAGAACACAGCTAGAAGCCATGAAGAGGTTTATTTTAGGAACCTCGTATAATCAGATTAGGTATTTTTTGAAACCTCCCATCTATATTTATGTGGCTATGTTCACCTGAAGAGGTGGCCCAGAAGCAGTGAAGGCAGCCCAGACAAGAAATATTATATTCACTGCTTCTGGGCAGCCTTCGCTGGTCAACATATCCAGATACAATAGGAGTTGGATGGCCGGGCGCAGTGGCTCACACCTGTAATCCCAGCACTTCGGGAGGCCAAGGTGGGCAGATCACTTGAAGTAATGAGTTCGAGACCAGCCTGGCCAACATGGCAAAACCCTGTCTCTACTAAAAATACGAAAATTAGCCAGGCATGGTAGCGGGTGCCTGTAGTCCCAGCTACTCAAGAGGCTGAGGCAGGAGAATCACCTGAGCCTAGGAGGCAGAGGCTGCAGTATGCAGAGATCAAACCACAGCACTCCAGCCTGGGCTGCAGAGTGAGACTCCTTCTAAAAAAAAGAAAAGAAAAAAAGACTTGGAGGAGTCTTGACTGGGACCGGGACCTCATTTGGGCTACTCATTCTAGCAGATCTACCTCTTTATTTCCAAAAACACTAATTAAAGCCCAGCACCCCAAATAAGGGCTTTCTCTCATTAGCTCCCAAATTACCACCTGACAGACTTGTGACTTCCACTCAGGTTGTTGGAAACATTCTGCCAGGATCATGGTGCAGAGGGCTGGAGAGTGGGCACATGGTTGGAGCTCTCTCTCATTGCCTTACAGCCAAGGTGCAGGGCCTGCGCTCCTGCTGTCGAGGCTGCCTGGTGGATTCAGATCCAACCTGATGGTCTAGTTTCCCCTCAGGTGTGTGAGTCCCGACAGGCTTCCCAAATTCTTTTTTTGCGAGTTAACTAGAATGGGTTTCTTTGCTTGCAACTGAAGAATTCAGACTAATGTTCTGAGTTATTTGTTTAAGACTTTAGGATATATGTTTAAATATAACACAATTGGCCCAGCATGGTGGCTTGCGCCTGTAATCCCAGCACTTTGGGAGGCCAAAGGAGTTCGAGACCAGCCTGGCCAACATGACGAAACCCCATGTCTACTCAAAATACAAAAACTAGCTGGGCCTGTAATCCCAGTTACTCAGGAGGCTAAGGCAGGAGAATCACTTGAACCCGGGAGGCAGAGGTTGCAGTGAGCTGAGATTAGCTACTGCACTCTAGCCTGGGTGACAGAGTGAGACTGTCTCAATAAATAAATAAATAAATAAAACAATGGATTAGTTCATATTTTTTCACAAATGACTTAGTGATTCACCTATATTTCTGTTTTCTCTGCTTTAAACAGTAAATTATTGTTAATATCAACTCCAACATTCAGCTGGCATAATGGACACATTTTCCTTTCCAATGGACCCAACAATGGTTCCAAAATTCCTATCTAGCTGAAATAAACAGAAAAAGGATTTGTCAAAGTATATTTAAATTTAATTTCTTGCACCAGAATAGAAAGTAAAAATCTAAAAAGCCTGTATCATTTTTTGAAGAGACACACCATTAACATGGACAAATAATAACAAGGTAACTATCCATTCCCCGCAATATATTTTTTAAAACTATCCTGATATTCTGACGCCAGTGTAGTGTAAAAAGGGAGCGAAAGCATCCCTGTATTCTGTTTTTAATATTCTAAAGCAGACTGTATTCTAACTTTCAAGTGTACGAGATGATGATTCACTTTTACAAATAAAGCCATTTGTGTTAGCCATAAAAACATTCTGCCAAGATACTTGTGAGTATTTAGCCCATTTTGGTTGGAAGGGTGACAAGGTAGGTCTCATGTACAGAAGTTCATCTCTTTCTGACTCTTGCGTGTTAATCACACAGCCAATTTTTGTAATAATGGATAGAGCAATGGAAACAAAGACAAAGTCATAGTAATTCCTTGAAATATTATATATTTGCCTAGTGCTTTACATAGTGATTTCAAAATTCTGGCTGACTTGATACTCATTGAATAATTCTGTGGGTAGAGTAAGATAAATGTTATTATTATTCTCCCTGTAATACACTTGAGGGAGCTCAGATTCAAAGACATTAAGTAATAAGAATAATAATACCTAAGATTCACTGAACTTTCGCTAGGTATCTGGAATTAATTTCTTACAAAGGTATTTTCAATAACTTTGTATTTCCATTATCCTCATTTAACAGATGGAGAAATTGAATCCGTAGAAGCTTGAACACCTCGCCCAAAGTCCCATAGCTAATGAGTCACAGGGTCAGGATTAGAATGTGGCTTTCTTCTCACTCCAAATTCAGGAAACACTTTTGCTCTCCTGCCCAAGATGACACAAATAGAAAGCAGCAGATCCCAGCAAGGGCTCCAACACAGACATTTCCACCCGTATTTTACCTCTCTGAAATTGGGACACATCTTGCAATCACTATCTCATACCCTAGCTGGCTCTGCCTGTACATGCAGTCGTCCGTTGCTATTCTGGTGCAAGACTAAACCACCTGCACACTTCAATGCTTGGGCCAATAGACCACTTGAGAACCATTTCAGGAAATAATAAGAGTATTGGTTGTTGCCTGAAAAACTTTCCACTAACACTTTCTGGTAAGACAAAGAAGAGATGGCTAGGTGTGATGGCTCACACCTGTAATCCCAGGACTTTGGGAGGCCGAGGTGGGAGGATCACTTGAGACTAGGAATTTGAGACCAGCTTAGGCAACACAGTGAGACCCCATTTCTATAAAAAAAATGAAAAAATTAGGGCGGGCCTGGTGGTTCACGCCTGTAATCCCAGAACTTTGGGAGTCCAAGGTGCGCGGATCACTTGAGGCTAGGAGTTCGAGACCAGCCTGGCCAACATGGTGAAATCCTGTCTCTACTGAAATACAAAAATTAGCTGGGCATGGTGGTGCAATCCTGTACTCCCAGCTACTCAGGAGGTTGAGGCAGGAGAAATGCTTGAACCCAGGAGGTGGAGGTTGCAGTGAGCCCAGATCACACCAGTGCACTCCAGCCTGGGTGACAGAGTGAGACCCTGTCTCAAAAATAAATAAATAAATAAACAGTAAATAAATAAAATTAAAAAAATAAAAGTAAAAAAATAAAAACATAGCACACACTTGCGGTCTCAGCTACTTGGGAGGCTGAGGTGGGAGGACGACTTGAGCCCAGGAGGCCAAGGCTGCAGTGATCCATGACTGTGCCACTGCACTCCAGCCTGGGCAACAGAGCGAGACCCTGCCCCCCACCCCACAGAAAAAAAGAGGCCAAAATCAAAACTTGTAGGATGAGTGCCAGTGTTCAATGACAATAACATTGCCTTCTTCTAAGAAACTCTGCCCTACCATGCTCTTGATAACATATTTGGTGGGAAAACGAGGACATCAAAGAGTCTGGGTTGCAAAATAATTCTGAAGAATTGGATTCTGAATGAGAGGAAACTTTTGGAAACCTTTCATTTGTATCTCTCATATTTTCCTTTTTAATGAGTATGCAAGAATGAAATATGACAGAATTGTTTAAATATGTTCTAAAAAAGCTCTTTCAATAAGGCTAAGATAAAAATTCTGAATAATACAAAGGCACTGTGTTGGTTTAATTGGCAGTGGTTTGGGGACTTTTATCCCCCTTTTTTATCATGGTGCATGATATAATGGTTGATTTATGTTGATGCATCTTTGATGTGATGAAAAACAGAAGCATTCCAATGAGTCATTTCTCTCTCCATGGTACAAAGGCATTTGGTCTTACTTTTATTTTGTATTTTCTTTGCTTTAGAAAAAAGCTGGGGCTCAGAATATAAGATCCAGATTAGCAGTTAAACAAATGGCTCTTTAAAGTATTACCAACCCATGAACAAGTGATCTTGGAGATTCAAATGCAGCTCGGGATTACTTAGAGCTTTTTAACTTATTAGCTAGGGCCAGGTTTCAGGAGGCCACTGAATCTGGCAAACATGAGCATGTAGAGATGCTTCCATGGGTCCCAAAGAAGTCTTGTATACTTGGAGTTGCAGTTAACTTCAGATCCTTAAAAGCAGGAAGCATGATCATACTCTCGAGATTGATTGATGCATTTTAAAGTTATACAGGTGTTCCACAGCAGGTAAGTAGTTTCAAAACCTTCTATGCAGCATTCAGCGTATTACAAGTTCTTTGCTTGATGCTGGATAGGGAAAGACAAATTAAATAGCAGTCCAAATAGAGAACAGGCACTGAAAATAAATAATAGTGATATAGTGCATCTATGATGCTAAGATGAAGGAATGCCAAGAGCTCACTGGGAAGGACTTCCAAGGCCAAAAATATGTGCTAAATCCTCATGATCTATGAGGAAACAAAGGGAAGTTATTGTTTTAACCAGAAAATAGCAATTTTATTTCAGTAAGTTTTCCTGCACTCTTTAGTTGCCCAAGTTGAATGTTAACTTGCCTAGTGAAGGTTTTTGCTTTGGTGAGAGTGATTTCCATTTGGAAATGTGTATGTATTTTAAAGAAGCTGGCTGCCCTATGTGAAACATAAGACCTTAAAAAATCTATTTCATTTAACCTTGGAAATTAACTAGTCTATAATCTTAAACATCTATTGGATAACAAACAAGCATACTATTTCTTTTAAATGTTAAATTGAGGCCAATTCATTAAGTTAACTCTTCCCCAGGCATCACCCCAAACTCAGTCTTGTAAATGTGAAGTGGCTGTTAATGTCTGTGAAGTCAAATGCCTAGATAATGCTAGTTTCCCTATTTGAAGCTGTTCTTTAAATTCTGGGACTCCCATGAAGACCACACACTATTAAAAAAGTGATAATTCTCCTACCCGGATCTGTTCACTAGGATCTTACTCTTGGAATGCCTCTTGATTTACTGTATCTTATATGTTTCTCTTTCAATTTTTAATTTGTATGAATTAAAAATTGTAATCTGTTTGTATTTTCTCTCAATATATATTATTTAATTGTTTATAAGGCCTCTAATGAAACTCTTTTAGATCATATACGTACACTTGAGTTCCCTTCTATTTAATTTAGTAGTTATTCATACAACAACCATCTATTAAGCATATACCATGGGCAGGGACAGGGTTCAGTGCTATAGAAGGAGCCTTGTCTGAGTAAGGTGAAGAACATGGGCTTTGGAGTCAGCCATACATTAATTTGAACCCTAACTTCTACCAATTGCTAGCTGTAAGGCTGGATTTACCAAGTAGCTAATAAAGCAAATATTTTCTCCCACTCTGACTTATTTTTTTATTCTTTTAACAGTGTCTTTCAAAGGGCAGAAGTTTTTAATTTTGATGAAATGTAATTAACTAATTTGTCCATCTATGGATCATGTTTTTGGTGTCATATGTAAGGAATCTTTGCCTAACACAAGGTCATAAACATTTTCTTCTTCGTTTAGTTCTAGATGTCCTATTGTGTTAGTTTTACATTTAGGTCTACGAACACTTTTGAGTTAATTTTTGTGTTTGGATTGAAGTTTCAGTTTTGTTTTTTTTTCTGGCTCATGAATATCAAATTGTTCTAGCATCACTTGCTGAAAAGACTATACTTTCTTCATTGAATTATCATGGTATCTTTGTTAAAAATCAGTTGTCAATGTATGTGAGTCTATTTCTTCCAAACCATGAACACGATATATCTCACCATTAAATTAGATCTTCCTGAATTTCTCTGTCACATTTGAAGCTTTCACTGTACAGATTTTTCACATATTTTGTTAAATTTATTCTTATTTCATCTTTTTTATGCCATCGTAAATATCGTTGATTTTAACATTCTAGTTTCTGATTATTGCTACTATATAGAAATATAATTAATTTTAGTACAACTTTTTTGAGTTATAGTTCACACATCATAATGTTCAACTTTTAAAGTATAATGAAGATCTAACACTTGTGAAAATTATCAAAATCATTTTTTTTCAAAACTCTGGAAATTAACCAAAGTCTTGCAACAATGGAAGGGCTTTTCCCTGAGAAGAGGCTCTGCCCAGAGGAGTTTATCACAGGTAGACAGAAAGCAGAGGAATCCTGGTCCTTGCCTTGAAGCCAAGGTAATATCTGCCGACAGTTTTAGTCTTTGTTTACCCTGATGCTCTTCTTCCCAGAGAAAGAGGAGAGACTAAAGAGATCTGTCAGAAGCTGAAATTTCAATGTTCCACATTTTGGACCAATTGAACCTACATAAAAGCTACTGGTACCAATAAGGGAGTGTTGCAAGCTTATAAACCTGAACTTCAATCCATACCCAACAATTAACTCAAAATAAGTTATAGACCTAAATATACAACCAACACAATAACACTTCTAGAACTAAACATAGAAAAAAATTCTGTGACCTTGGGTTAGGCAAAGATTTCTCAGGTTTGACAGACATGTCAGTTTAGCTATTGGTAGAACAGACAACTCGGAGTCTGCCATGAAGACCCAACTCTTTTATAGACATGCCACAGTGTGTAAATCCCATTTGGACTTAGAGTCTGGACTTACAATATCCTACTCTAGCCTAGGACTTTAGTCTTTTTCTACATTCTATCATTTCTCTGAAATTCCTGATTGCAGAGAGTTAGTTTATAGGAGCTTTTCCTGGTTAATTTGTTGGCCGCTAATTCTTTTTTTTTTTTTCTGAGACAGAGTCTCATTCTGTCACCCAGGCTGGAGTACAGTGGCACAATCTTGGTTCACTGCAACCTCCGGCTCCCAGTTTCAAGCAATTCTCGTGCCTCAGACTCCCAAGTAGTTGGGATTACAGGTGCCCGCCACCAGGCCCGGCTTATTTTTGTATTTTTAATAGAGACAGGTTTTCGCTATGGCTGGTCTCGAACTCCTGACCTCAGGTGATCCACCTGCCTCGGCCTCCCAAAGTGCTGGGATTACAGATGTGAGTCATTGTGCCTGGCCTGTTACCTGCTAATTCTCTCTTTTTTTTTTTTTTTTTTTTTTTTTTTTTGAGACGGAGTCTTTCTGTGTCGCCCAGGCTGGAGTGCAGTGGCTCGATCTCGGCTCACTACAAGCTCCGCCTCCTGGGTTCATCCCATTCTCCTGCCTCAGACTCCCAAGTAGCTGGGACTACAGGCGTCCGCCACCACGCCCGGCTAATTTTTTTTGTGTGTGTATTTTTTTTTAGTAGAGACGGGGTTTCACCTTGTTAGCCAGCATGGTCTCGAACTCCTGATCTTGTGATCCGCCTGCCTTGGCCTCCCAAAGTGCTGGGATTACAGGTGTGAGCCACCGCGCCCAGCTGTTAGCTGCTAATTCTTAATAGGCAGTATTTCCTTTCCCTTGGTGTATATATAAGATAATCCTTGCATTTATGTATTATTTTACCCCCCAGAACTCTGGAGGTGAGAACGAGTGAGCCTCATGATGAGATTATTGTGGGAACTTTCCTGAGCAAAAGAAAAAAACCAGGTTATTTCCCTGAGTCAGTGGTGCAATTTTTAATCCTACAATGACAAGAATGTTAGAAAGTCACGTGGAAAAGCTTTGAATGTGTGATACCCTCAGGTGTGGTCACCAGAGAAAACTTTAGACCTTTGAATCTTGAAGTCATTTTACGAACAGCAAATTGATAAAGTTCAATCTGTTTTTGCTTAGTGTGTACAGCAGTTAGCACGCAGGCCATTTGATGGTCCTGACTTTTTGCCTGTAAATATAATATTAGAAACTTGTGCTTCAAATAGATGGTGGGTGTTGATGCCAGATACAGTGGGAAAATGAGGTCTGACTATATATAATATAATATAGAATACATATTGTTTGCACCCACAGATTTTGTGTTAGCAAGACCTGCCTAAGAATCCCATGAGATCGATCCTTACGGGCACATGTTCTCCCAGGAAGCATCACGTCTTCCAGTCTCTGTTCTATTTATTTTGTTGCCTAGATTTCATATACTCACAGTTAAAGTGGGTAAAGATGTCAGATGTTGTTCCTTCCTTATTTGCTGATCAGAACCTCCAGCTCTTGGCTGGTTTGTTATGTCATAAATACTGCTTAGACACACACCTTACATGCAGGGTGTTCAGTCCTTGGAGCCTAAATCTAAGCACACAGACCTGGAGCTTTCCATTTTGGGGATATTGTTTCCTCAGTCAGTAATCAGGGAGGTCAGAATTCAGAGCTTTAGGCTTCGAATCTTAGGCAAAACCCAGCAAGAGTTTTGAAAGGACCATAGATTACTCTTAACTGACATGGCATCCCTGAGACTAATCTGCATTTGGATACACCAAGCTTTGTGAAGACCATAAAAGCCTCTGTTGCTTTCACAATTAGTTTGCCACTCTTCTTTCAGAGCTAGAAGCCAAGAGCAAAATGGGCATTAGATTACTCGAAGATTTAGTGTATTAGGTACTCCAGTGCCAGGCATACACTGTAAATGGATTAAAGAAACTTCAGGATACACTCCACCCTTATCTTTACTAGTTTAATTTGCTCCTCTATAGAGAGTACATTTAATAGATAATTGCCTCTATTCTCCTCCCCCAGTCCCTTGGAAATAGCATGGTTTCTTCCTGCAGCAGCTAATGAATTATCTTTATTAGTAATAAAGAATTCTGCCTTTTCATTCTTATAACTCATCTGAAATGCAATATATTTGAACACTAACATTCAGGCTCAAATTGATCTTTAGTGGAAGCATATGATAGAAAAAAAGATCCAAGAGAAATAGAATCTGTTGGTAATTCAGACTTTTGGTTTAATGCCAGGACTTACAGAAATTTTGGGTTTCTCAGGGGATGACAAAATTATAAAATTATTTGAAATCAATGAATAATATAGTACTTATGTATTTTTCATATGAGAAACTTCACTCCTACTAGAATAGGTGAAAGATTTCATGTTGAAGTCAGACAAGAAAACTCATCCATACTGGCACCAGTTGGAATTAACCGGTGTTAAGATATTAGCATGTTGGCTTTTGGTTTTTTTATCATATCTTAAAAAATTGCACAAGTTGGCCAGGCGCAGTGGCTCACGCCTGTAATCCCAGCACTTTGGGAGGCGGAGGCGGGCGGATCACGAGGTCAGGAGATTGAGACCATCCTGGCTAACACCGTGAAACCCCGTCTCTACTCAAAAAAATACAAAAAATTAGCCAGGCGTGGTGGCGGGCGCCTGTGGTCCCAGCTACTCCGGAGGCTGAGGCAGGAGAATGGCGTGAACCGGGGAGGCGGAGCTTGCGGTGAGCTGAGATCAGGCCACTGCACTCCAGCCTGGGCGACAGAGCAAGACTCCGTCTCCAAAAACAACAACAACAACAACAACAAAAATTGCACAAGTTATATGTGACTATATGATAAGTTCTTTAAAAACTAGAATGTTATGGTTAGAAACAAACTCTTACTTTGACCCCTATCATAATCCATATTGACTCAACCTCCAAGCAGAACCAATCGCTATTATCAGGGTTCTTTTATATACTTTCACCCCCACACACTCACACACATATAGCCACAGAAAATACTCTCTTTCTGGGGTTTCATACACATTGGTACACGTTATTTGACAGCTTACTTGTTTACTCAATGTTATTTTTGGAACTATATATATAGATACCTATAAATATAGTTCATTCTTATAACTACTGAATAATCATCCATGTGATTTCAATTCATTTGCTCACTTATTTACTCATTCCCCTGTTGAATTATGTGGTTACTTTCTACCTTCCTCCTTTCCTCTCTTATAAAGAATGCTGTAATACTCATCTTTACATATTTCCATATCCACACATATTTAACCTAGAGACTGAAAAGAATCTCTGAGAAATAGAGCATGTATATTTTCACATTTAATAAATGCAATCAAATTGCCCTCTGCAATGGTTGTAGTGATTTCCATCAGCAACTTACCTGAACTTCATTTTGACCTCTCAACAATATGTAATACTGTTAGATCTTAAAATGTTGGCTGATCCAATGGGTGAAAAATGGCATAGCATTATTTTAATTTGTACTTTCCTGATTACTGGTGACTTTTATCATCTTTTCATATGTTTGTTGGTATTTGGATTCTGTAAATTGCCCCTTTATATATTTTCCATAAGTTTTCTATTGAGTCATCTTTGTCTTTGTAAATTTTAGTTATTTTTGTATCATATCTTTATTTTTTGAGATGGAGTCTTGCTCTGTCACCCAGGCTGGAGTGCAGTGGCACAATCTCAGCTCATTGCAACCTCTGCCTCCTGAATTAAAGCAATTCTCTTGCCTCAGCCTCTTGAGTAGCTGGGATCACAGCCACGTGCATCACACCGGCTAATTTTTTTATATTTTTGGTAGAGTCAGGGTTTCACCATGTTGGCCAGGCTGGTCTCCAACTCCTGACCACAAGTGATCCACCCCCGTCGGCCTCCCAAAGGGCTGGGATTACAGGCGCCTGGCCTGGTATCATATCATTAAAAGTAACACTCCATTATATATGTTCTTCATCCTACATGTTGTCTCATCTTTGTATATGCTGTTTCTGATTAAGTAGAAGTTTAAAATTTTGATATAGCCACATTTATGACTTTCTATTCTATTGTTCTTATCTTGGGCTAATACAATTATTTTCTTTGTAACCCAAGGTCATAAACTTTTTGACTCAAACAGTTTACTTTTTCCATAGTTTTGTATATAATTTATTGAGTTTATTTTATATTCCACATTTTTTTCCAATTTTGTTTTTTCCATAGTGATAACTGTCTCCCTACCATTTGATTAATAGTGTACATTATCTCTCACTGATTTGTGATGCTTCCCTATCATACAACTATACTTCTATTTATGCTTCTGTCTGTATCTGGGCTTTTTGTCTGTTGCATTTACCTCATTTACCTATTCATGTATTTCTAGGCTAATTTCACTCTTCTAAAATTACTGTAGCTTCAGAGAAATTAGGCAAAAGAAAGAAATAAAAGGCATCCAAATTGGAAAGAAGGAAGTCAAATTGTCCTGTTCACAGATGACATATTCTTGTATACACAACACTCTTAACTACTCCACAAAAAACTGTTAGAACTAATTTAGTAAAGTTGAAGAATAAAAAATCAACATAAAATAACTGGTAGCCTTTCTGTACAGTAACAATAAAGTATCAAAAAAAGAAATTAAAAAACTCTACATTGCTGCTAAAATAATACAATACTTAGGAATAAAGTTAATCAAGGAGGTGAACTGTATACTTTCTGTATACTGAAAATAATAAAATATTGATGAAAGAAATTAAAGAAGACATACATAAGTAAATGGAAAGATACCGTGTGTTCATGGATTAGAAGAATTAATATTGTGAAAATATACATGCTCCTAAAGATATCTACAGGTTCAATTCAATCCCTATCAAAATTCCAATGATTTTTTTTCACAGAAATAGAAAAAGCAATCTTAAATCTTGAGCAAAAAGAACAAAGCTGGAAGTAATACACTACCTGCTCTCAAAACCTACTACCAGATATAATACTCAAAATAGCATGGTTGGCCAGGTGCAGTGGCTCACACCTGTAATCCTAGCACTTTGGGAGGCCGAGGCAGATGGATCACGAGGTCAGGAAATTGAGACCATCCTGGCCAACATGGTGAAACCCCGTCTCTACTAAAAATACAAAAATTAGCCAGGAGTGTTGGCACACCCCTGTAGTTCCAGCTACTTGGGAGGCAGAGGCAGGAGAATCACTTGAACCCGGGTGGCGGGGGTTGCAGTGAGCCGAGATCGCGCCACTGCACTCCAGCCTGGTGACAGAGCGAGACTCTGTCTCAAAAAAAAAAAAAAAAAAAAAAAAAAAAAGCATGGCTCTGGCATGAAAACAGATGCATGGACCAATAGAGCAATAGAGAGCTCAGACATAAATCCATGCCTTTATGGTCAATTGATCTTTGACAAAGATGCCAAGAACGAACAATGGGGGAAGAAAAGTCTCTTCAACGTATGGTGTTGGGGAAAACCAGAAATCCATATGCAGAAGAATGAGATCAGATCTTTATCTCACACCATTTACAAAAACTAACTCAAAACAGATTAAAGACTTAAATGTAAGACCTGAAAGTAAAACTACCAAAGAAAACTTAGGCGAAAAGTTCCATTACATTGGTCTGGGCAATAATTTTTAAAATATGACCTCAAAAACACAAGCAACAAAAGTAAAAATAGACAAGTGGAATTACATATAAGTAAAAAACATCTGGACAGCCAAGGAAACAATCAACAGAGTGAAAAGACAACCTGTGAAATGGGAGAAAATATTTGCAAAACACACCTGGTAAGAGGTTAATATCCAAAATATGTAAGGAGCTCAAAACTGCTCAATAAGAAAACAAGTGATCCATTTAAAAATTGGATGAAGGACCTGAATAAATATTTCTCAAAATAAGACATACAATTAACCAATGAGTATGTGAAAAATGCTCATTATTCATCATCAGGGAAATGCACATTAAAATTACAATGAGATATCACCTTACACCTGTTCACACCTGTTGGAATGGCTACTATTGAAAAACAAAAGATAACAAGTGTTGTCAAGGATGTGGAGAAAAGGGAACCCTTGTACACTGTTAATGGGAATGTAAATTAGTACAGCCATTATGAAAAAATGTATGGAGGATTCTGAAAAAATTAAAAAGAGAACTACCATATGACCCAGCAAACCCACCGCTGGGTATATATCCAGAGAAAATGAAATCAGTATGTCAAAGAGATATCTGCACTCCCAGGTTCACCCCAGCATTATTCACAATAGCCAAGTTATGGAACCAACCTAAGTGCCTACCAATGGATGAATGGATAAAGACAATGTGGCATATATACACACAGTGGAATACTCTTCAGCCTTAAAAAGAATGTAATCCTGTCACTTGAGACAACATGGATGAATCTGGAGGACATTATGTTAAGTGAAATAAGCCAGGCACTGAAAGGCAAATACTGTGTGATCTTGCATACATGTGGAATTACAAAAAGTTGATCTTGGTTAGGCGTGGTGGCTCACGCCTGTAATCCCAGCATTTTGGGAGGCCGAGGCGGGTGGATTACGAGGTCAGGAGTTCGAGACCAGCCTGACCAACATAGTGAAACCCCGTCTCTACTAAAAATACAAAAATTAGCCTGGTGTGGTGGTGTGTGCCTGTAATCCTAGCTACTCAGGAGGCTGAGGCAGGAGAATCGCTTGAACCTGAGAGGCGGAGGTTGCAGTGAGCCGAAATCGCACCACTGCACTCTAGCCTGGGTGACACAGTGAGACTCCGTCTCAAAAAAATAAAAAAAAAGTTGATATTATAAAGGCAGAGAGTAGACTGGTGGTTACTAGAGGATGGGAGAGCGGAGGAAGGTGGGGATTGAAGAGATTCTGGTCAGAAGATATAAAATTTCATTTACTTATAAATAATTTAATGAAATCTATTGTACACTATAGTGACTATAGTTAATAATATATCGTGTACTTCAAAACTGCTATGAGAATAGATTTTCTGTTCTAACCACAAAAATGTATATGAGGTAATGTATATGTTAATTTGCTTAATTTAGCCATTCCACAATGCATACATGTATCAAAACATTATGTTGTACACCATACAATTTTGTCAATTTATTTATTTTTTGAGACAGAGTCTCGTTTTTTTGCTCAGGCTGGAGTGCAATGGTGTGATATCTCGGCTGACTGCAGCCTCTGCCTCCCAGGTTTAAGCGATTCTCCTGCCTCAGCTTCCCGAGTAGCTGGGACTACAGGTGCTCACCACCACACCTGGCTAATTTTTGTATTTTCAATAGAGATGGGGTTTTGCCATTTTGGCCAGGCTGGTCTCGTACTCCTGACCTCAGGTGATCTGCCCACCTTGGCCTCCCAAAGTGCTGGGATTACAGGCATGAGCCACAGTGCCTGGCCTTATTTGTTAATTTAAAAATAAATAAAATTCTGTAGGGAATCTAGACTGAAAGAGAGAGAGAAAAAAACAAGATCTCATGTGGGTGGCATATATTGTTTGTTTATGTTTGTTGCTTGTGAAATGAAACTAGCTTTATTTCCACTTATTGTAAATGTAACATATTTTCATTCTGAAAGAAAGCAAACAGGTGTGTCAATAATATAAAATTACTATAGCTTTAATAAACATCTTGCTAAATGGTAGATTAAGTGGCCCTGTCTTGTCTATTTTATTTTTTTGTCCCATTTATTGTTTTGCATTTATGCTTCCATATAAATGTAGAATCAATTTGAAAAGTTCTACAGATAATTTTAAGATTTTGATACTGCATTGAATTTATAAATTCATTTATAAATAATCAATATGTATATAATATTGAAAATTCCCACTATTTATTATTTATGCCCTCCAACAAGATTCCTTGTTTTCTTTATGAAGTTCTTCCACTTTTTCTAACTTTATTCTTAACTACTTTTCAATTTTTGAAACTAATTTCAATGGCATGTTTTGTACCTCATTTTTCTTATAAATCATTGTGTTATTTAGAAATGCGTTCAGTTTTGTATGTGGATCCTCCCATCAGCAATGTATCTAAGATAAATATGTGTTACCTGCTGAAATCTCTTATGAGTTCTAATAATTTGCTCATTGACATTTTTAAATTTTCTATGTGAAAGTGCTAACAGTCCCTCCCTACTTTGTATTTCTATGTTTTCTTTCTTCTGAGGATATTCTACATTCTTGTGAATTGAGTTACGCATTTAAAACACTTTTAAAAAATGTTACCCAGCATTTCTAGGTACTTCAGAAGAAGTTGTAGTTATGTGCTCTACCTGAATGCTCTGAATTACATTCCAGAAATTTATTCATTTTGCCCAGATATTAGAATTGTTGTTTCTCTTTTTCTAAAAAATACTCCCAAACCTTATTTATCTCTATTTAAAACAATCATCTCTCTTTTCCTGTTTTTGTTGGAAACAAACTCAAATTGTCGCAAATAAACACAAAGAACTTTTTCTCCATCATCTGAGGGTAATTTGTTGACATGAAACTTCATTACTCCCAAATAATTTAGTATGTATTTCTTACAAACAAGAACATTCTTTTACATATCAACAATCAAACCATAAACATTAGGACATTATCACTGATTTGTTATTACAATCTATTCCACAACACCCATCAACCTTTGCAAACTGCCCCTCAATGTGCTTTATAGAAAAAGGATCCAGTCCAGAATCATGCATTGCATTGAGTTGTGTTGCTTTGGTCTCCTTCAATTTGGAACAGTTCCTCAGCATTCTCTTGATGTTTTTGGACCTTGATATATTTGAAGGTTACAGGTCAGTAATTTGTAGACTGTTCTTCAATTTGAGTTTGATGTTTCCACATGATTAGATTCAGGGGTGCATCTTTCTCAGGAATATCATAGAAATGATGCTGTGTTCTTCTATTGCAACCTAACAGATGGGCACTTCATTTTGATTTGTCCTGTTGGGATTTGATTAAGGGAGTGTGATGGTCAATTTTATGTGTCAACTTGGCTGGGCTAAGGGATGCCCCAATAGCTGGTAAAACATTATTTCTGAGTGTGTCTCTGACGATGTTTCTAGAAGACATTAGCATTTGAATCAGTGGACTGAGTAAGGAGAATCCACTTTCACCAATGTGGGTGGTCCTTATCCAATCCATTGAGGACTGGAATAGAACAGATATACCAAGGAAGGGTGAATGCTCTCTTCCTTCCTGAGATGAGACATTCATTTTCTCTTACCCTCGATACTGGAGCTCCTGGTTCTCAGGGCCTTGGACTCTGGGGCTTTCACTAGCATGCTTCCACTCTCACCTGCTGGTTTCCAGGTCTTCAGCCTTGAATTGTTGGCTCCTCTGGTTCTCAGGCCTTCAAGCTCAGAATGGATTACAGCACTGACCTTCCTGATTCTCCAGCTTGCAATGGCATATAGCATAGGACTTCTTGGCCTCTGTTAGCTCATGAGCCAATTGCTGTAATAGATCTCCTCTCCTATATTGAGATATATGGGTTCTCCAGAGAAACAGCCCAGTAGGATGTCTAGATATGTGAGACTAATGCGGGTGATGTCTGCCAGAGAAACAGCCCAATAGGATGTCTAGATATGTGAGACTAATGTGGGTGGTGTCTGCCAGGCTTATACATTGTAAAGTAATTAATTTTCTTTTTGTAATTAATACTATTTTGTGGGGAGGTGCTTTGAGAGTGATATGGTTTGGCTCTGTGTCCCCACCCAAAACTCATCTTGAATTGTAATTCAAACTGTAATTCCCAGGTGTTGAGGGTGGGTCCTGGTGGGCGGTAACTGGATCATAGGGGTGGTTCCCCCATGCTGTTCTCGTGATAGTGAGTGAATTCTCATGAGATCTAATGGTTTTCTAAATGGCAGTTATGCCTGCTCACTTCTCTCCTGCCTCCTTGTGAAGAAGGTGCCTGGTTCCCCTTCTTCCATGATGGTAAGTTTCCTGAGGCCTCCCCAGCCATGTGGAACTGTGAGTCAACTCAATGTCCTTTGTTTATAAATTACCCAGTCTCAGGTAGTATCTTTATAGCAGTGTGAAAATGGACTAATGGACAAATACAGAGAACATGTAAATATTGCATTCCTTATCAAACTTTCCCTTTATGGATTCATTCAATTTGTATTAATTTATACTCAATGATTGCTATTGGTTTGTTTTGAGACGGAGTTTTGCTCTTTCGCCCAGGCTGGAGTGAAGTGGGGTGATCTTGGCTCACTGCAACCTCTGTCCCCTGGGTTCAAGCGATTCTCCTGCCTCAGCCTCCCGAGTAGCTGGGATTACAGGCTCCTGCCACCATGCTTGGCTAATTTTTGTGTTTTTAGTAGAGACAGGGTTTCTCCATGTAGGCCAGGCTGGTCTTGAACTCCTGACCTCAGATGATCCTCCAGCCTCGGCCTCCCAAAGTGCTAGGATTACAGGTGTGAGCCACCAGACTCAGCCTCAATGATTGCTATTTCATTCACTAGGTTTTTATTTGTTCATTAGGGAATCTGTTATTACTATTAATTTTGATGCTCAAACTGGCCAGTGAGACTGCCTTTAAGCTCAGTTCTGTGTCCTTTTTACATGACCCCAAAATTCTGTGTTATGTCCTTACTTTCTGGTACAGTCAGATGTTTCAGCTTCATCTTTCCTGCCCCAGTCCTGGAACTGACCATTTTCTATAGGTAGCCCTGGATCCTTTTGGTGAGTAGTGCCGTTTAGAATCCATGACTTTGGTCCTTGTTTTTTTCATTACTACTGGGATGTGGCTTTCTCAGTGGACATAGTGAGAGAATTTGATTAAGTGTGTGTATTTACACATTACATCTATATTTCTAATCCATCTCTATATATTAAAAATATACAAGTTCATACTGATATCTCCAATTCTAATGAAATGTTCCAGGATTCTTTCTAGTTTTCTCCTTCTCTGTTCTTTCCCCTTCCTCCGTCCCTCCCTCCCTCTCTCTCTGTCTCTATCAGTCTCTCTCTTTCTTCCTTCCCTTCCCCTTCCTTTCTTCTTTCCCTCCCTGCCTCCCTCCCTCCATCCCTCCTTCCCTCCCTCCCTTCTGTCTCTCTCTCTCTCTCTCTCTTTCTTTCTATGACGGAGTCTTGCTCTGTCATCCAGGCTGGAGTGCAGTGGTGCAATGTTGGCTCACTGCAACCTCCGCTTCTCTGGTTCAAATGATTCTAGTAGCTCAGCCTCCCAAGTGGTAGGAATTACAGGTACACACTACCACGACCAGCTAATTTTTGTATTTTTAGTAGAGACAGGGTTTCGCCATGTTGGCCAGGCTGGTCTCGAACTCATGTGATCCGCCCCTCTCAACCTCCTAAAGAGTTGGGATTAGAGTGTGAGCCACCGCACCTGGCCCCTCTCCATATTTCTAAACTCCTTCTCCAACAGGGAGAAGGCTGGCTGCCATTACCCTTAATATATTTACTGACTGAATCCTGCACGGTACTCTTTTCACTGCCTTTGCCCTTTCCTTTCTTTTCTCCTCCCTCCTTTAACCTGTGTTGATGTCTTTCTCACCTCTTTTGGGCTACGCCACCCTGCTTACCCCTCTCCCTCGGCATGAATGTCCTCCTCACCTGCCTTGAGCTGGGTCATTTCCTACGTGGAAGCTCTCTTCTCCCGTCTTGGGCTGTGATATCTCATGCCAGCCCTCTCACTGAGTAGATACTATCTTTAACCTGCTCAGGCCTCTAGACCCCCTGATGGGCCTTCCTCCTAAACAGACACCCCCTGCCCCCGCTACCAGTTTTCTTTTTTTTTAATTAATTAATTTTTTTTTTAATTTGAGACGGTGTCTCATTCTGCTGCCAGGCTGGAGTGCAGTGGCACGATCTCGGCTTACTGCAACCTCTGCCCCCGGGGTCCAAGCAATTCTCCTGCCTCAGCCTCCCAAGTAGCTGGGACTACAGGCGCCCGCCACCACGCCCAACTAATTTTTGTATTTTTAGTAGAGACGGGGTGTCACAATGTTGGCTGGTATGGTCTCGATCTCTTGACCTCATGATCTGCCCGCCTTGGCCTCCCAAAGTGCTGGGATTACAGGCGTGAGTCACCGTGCCCGGCCCCCACCACCAACCTCCTCTGGCTCTGACACCCTGTGCCCCCTCCTCTGGGATGTCCCCTGGATGGAGGCCCTCTTCCCTCTGCTCAGTCTCCAGAAACCTGTACCTCAGGCTCTGGCAATGTCCTCCTCAGTCTGCTTGGTTTCTGATGCCCTAGCTGTCTCTGGGTTATTGCAGAAGGTGAGCCTCCTTGTGGACCCTCTTCTTGCCCTGCTCAGCCTTCGATAGGCCATATCAGGCTGCCTCCCTATGGGGACACCTCCTCACCCTTCGTGGTCTCTGACACCTCATGCAGCCTCTGTGGCTCTCCCCGCAACACCTGCCTTGTTCAGCCCCAGCTACCGGCTTGTGGTTTGAATTATTCAAGAAGGAAAGAAAAAGAAAAAGGAAGAAGAAAATAACATAGAAAAGAAAGAGCCGTTCTTTAATTTTAATTATTTTCTACATTTTTCCTTTTTATGGCTTATGTCAAGATTTCTATTTTATTTGGCCTTTGTAAGAGTAACAGATTTGGTTTGTTGATTAGATCTGTTTTCCCTGCAAGTTAATTCATTTCTTCTTTGATCTTTATTTTCCCTTGTTCTTGCATTCTTTGCATTTACTTTGTTATCCTCTATTTAGATTTCAATTGAACACTTTTTTGTTTGTAATGAATGAATTTAAGTTTATAAATTTTCCTTTATGTACCACTTTAGCGTAATTCCATAAGTTTAATGGATAAGACTTTTGTTGACATTTGGTATCAAATATTATCATTTTGATTTCCTTTTTAGCCCATAAGTAGTACAACAGTTTCCTTTTTACATTCCTTTTATAATGGAGAAATGTTACTTATGTATCATTTTATTGTTGATTTCTACTTTTATTGTATTTTGGCAAACAGTGTAATCCATAGGATACTAGTTTTCATAATTTATTAAGCCTAGTTTTTCATATAGTATTTGACCACTATTTTAAAACATATTTTAACTGGGCGTGGTGGCTCACGCCTGTAATCCTAGCACTTTGTGAGGCTGAGGCAGGCAGATCACTTGAGGCCAGGAGTTCAAGACCAGCCTGGCCAACATGGTGAAACCCCATCTCTACTAAAAATACAAAAATAGCCGGGCGTGGCATGTAATCCCAGCTACTCAAGAGGCTGAGGCAGGAGAATCGCTTGAACCTGACAGATGGAGGTTGCAGTGAGCCGAGACTGTGTCATTGCACTCCAGCCTGGGCAACAGAGCAAGATTCCATCTCAAAAAACAAACAAGAAAACTCCCATATTTTGCAAGTGTTTGAAAACAGAGTTTATTCTCTCTCTATTGGGTATATTTGTCTATGTGGTCACAAACGTGTGTGTAACATAAACGTGTGAATAACGTGATGAACATGTCTTGTTCATCATGTTATTCACATATTCTATAGCTTTAACAAGTTTTGTATTAGTTTTGGAAAGTTTTAGTTAATACAAGTTTTGTATTAATATATTAGTTTCCCACTGTAATTATGTCAAATTTGAAAACTTTATATTTTGAGGCTATATTACTAGATTTATAATTGTTTTAGATTCTTGATGGTTTTTTTTGTCATTTTATCCATATGAATGACCCATTTGAGTTCAATTAATTCTTTTCTTTTTAGAAAAATCCTTTATTAAAACATGAAAATAATCTGAATAAATTCAAGCTATTGGTTTTAGTCTCTATTGCTTCATTATTAACAAATGCATATATAAAATACCTAGTAACCACAACACTGGACATTTTGAATCATGCATTAGAATGTTTGTACTCTAAAATCAGAGTTAAGGGCCTGCCACTATTGCTTGCACTTTCAATCAGACCCAGTTTGAATTTAATAAGCATGTAAAATAAACTCCTTGATTCAGAGGAATTCTGGGAAATAACAAGGATCCATGCAAGTTTCAACTCAAAAGTTGGGTTAATAATTGCTTAGAAATGCAGGCAGAAACTCCACATCTATCACAATGCTGCTTCAGAACAGGGATAAGAGTCATACACAAAAATGTTAAAATTAGGACCATTAATCAGTTTTAAAAGGCTTATATGCAAATCCTGGTCCATCTGATTAGAGAATGATGTACAAACTCTGGGAAAAGAAAGAGAATTGAGGGATGTACAGTCTTAAGGAGCTGTTAATTTTCTTGGTGATTTACTGACAACTATAACAGGAGAGCATAGGTGGTTTAGGGGGATGGTTAAGATGCTCTTAGGCAGAATGGTTTCTTTTCTGATTCATGCTAATAAGCATTACCTGCATAGCTCCCTAGGGAAAAAATGATAAAGAGCAGGGCTAATACAATGTAAACTCAAGCTATCAATAACCTCAAATTTAGCACAGCCCTCTGCTTTTTAAAACTGTTCACCAAGGGATCCTTCCAAATAGGATATAATTAATAGCCAACAATGTTCATTAATAAACTAGAAGAAATCTGCTTGAACCAACAGCACCGTGAGAATGTAAGCTCCTGGAGGCCAAGAATCTCTTCATATTTTTGCATATCACAGACACATGAAGAGTCAACATGAGACCACAGTAACTTTGAAAAGTAATTAACTGTATACTTTCAAGACTATGAAAAACTCATAGTATATTTTAGCATTTAGACGTATTAACATGGCTGTTAAGGGTAATCTTTAATTGTTCCAAGTAACTGAACTGCTGACATCATTGTAATATGTAGTGCTGTCCCCAGATAGCGCAGATGTCTGAATATTGCTTGGTTATTCCAATGTCTCTAAGACCAACTGACAGCATAGGACATTTCGAGAGGAGCTATAATCAACTTAACACAGCCTTTTCCCTGTGTGTCAGTTGTCATGTAAGAATTAAATATTCAAGAGGCACTATTTCTTAGATCTACATCACTTATCTTTTTGTTTTTTCCCTGGGAAAACAAGGAAATGTAGATCCAGTCTTTTCAGGGATAGTCAAGGTGCTAACAGGCCAAGATAGACATCAGGTGAAAGGGAGTGAAGTCACCCTAGTTCCACTATTATATTCTGATGTGAGCTGTGTGATTCCTCAGATCAAGAAAGAAACTAGTTTGCTGGGTTCTCCTTGATAAAGAATAAGCGGTCACAGGGCATAGACACGTCTATGTTAAACAAGGTTTCACACCCCGCCCACCCAAACATATTCACTGGCTATTCCTTTCAATCCTTCTGCTTTGCATCTTTAAATCTTAACTCCCTAATCATAAGCATGAGAGAAATCCGGCTTATCCATGTTCTTGGGAGTTTTTTTAAAACATTAAACTCACAAACTTCTCTCCCTTTAAAAAAAAAATGTACCCAGGAAACCAATGGAGAAAGATGAGGAGACAAAGCAGAAAGTACAGCGTTCTACAAAATAAATGCCTGTTGCTGAAACATTGTAAGCAAAAAACCCACAGAGCAGCTTCAGTGGGGCCTTGGTACATTTGTTCCCAGGTTAAGCACTATAAAGGTTTAATTTCAACAGCTCTAACCCTCTGATTTAGGAAACAAACAGGACCTTTAACCTTTAACTTACATAAAAGTTGATTATTTCTCACACAAAGATAAATTCATATACATTCATACTGTTCTAAAAGAAAGTACCTTTCATACGCTCTTTAACCAGAACATTTTTTCCTTTTGTGCAGCTTTTTTTTTGAGGCTGGAGTACAGTGGTGTGATCCGGATCACTGCAACTCCGCCTCCCAGGTCCAAGCGATTCTCCTGCCTCAGCCTCCCGAGTAGCTGGGACTACAGGCATGTGCCATCACACCCAGCCAACCCTTGTACCTTTAGTAGAGACGGCGCTTCACCATGCCGGCCAGGATGGTCTTGATCTCTTGACCTTGTGATCTGCCCACCTCGGCCTCCCAAAGTGCTGGGATTACAGGCATGAGCCATCACACCTGGCCTTTGTGCAAGTCTTGATTGCAGAGCCCTACAAACTCAAGTAGTATCACTTATTCTATTGTACAACCTTGCTAATGCAGATTACTATACATGCACAAACTTATTGCTACTAAAATTCTACCTCTTGAAAATTACTATTCATTTTATGGCTTTTTTTTTTTTTTTGCAACAGGAAATATCCTTTCCTATATACTGTGCTATTCTGTATTCATTAGCTTTTCAGTTTTTTTTTTTTAATTTTTTTAATTTAAATGCTTTTCAGTAATGGATTCTCCCAGGAACTAAACTACATAAGCCAAGAGTATAACTACACCAAATACACTACGAGAATCTAAACTTGAGTCTCTGGAGACCTGCTGCCAGAGTCTACTTGTTCTAACCTGTGTATGCACAAGATACATCACATTATAATAGTTTTGCATGTGCTATCATGCATCAGTTATGTAGAATCTGTGTCAGCAAATGCTGGACTCTATCTAATACTGAAATTTAAAAATCACCTCAGAAAACTGCCACTTCTGAGTTCTCAAGGCAGCTTTTAGAGGTAGGAATTCCTTCTCTACAGAAAGCTATCTTATTCTTTCAGAGCAAAACAACTGTTTCATTTCCACAAGTAAAGTAGATAAAAGTGAAAGCTGTCCGAGGCTTACTATACCCAAGAGAAAGAGTCTACTTATTATGTAGCAACCTAGGTAGGTGCCACCCAGCTACATTTCCAGTTCTCATGAAAAGGTCTGAAAATCCCATCAATAGACAATTCGGCGCATTTGGAAACAGGAAGAGCCCTAACAAATAATCGAATACTCCAAATTACTGAGTGTTTGCACACAGCATGCTGCAAACAGGAAATGTAAATGGTTTGCAGATTAGAAAAGCACTCACTGAAGCAATTAACAGCATCTCCATAAGACATGCAAAATGTAATTTCTTGACATACAAGGAGTAGGAAAAGAATGAACCTAGAAGACGTGTCATGTTAAGACATGAAAAGAGCAGGCCGGGTGGATTACTTGAGGTCAGGAGTTTGAGACCAGCCTGACCAACACGGTGAAACCCCATCTCCAATAAAAATACAAAAATTAGCTGGGCATGGTGGCGCATGCCTGCAGTCCCACCTACTCGGGAGGCCGAGGGACGAGAATCGCCTGAACCCAAGAGGCAGAGGTTGCAGTAAGCCGAGACTGTGCCACTGCACTCCAGCCTGGGTGAGAGAGTGAGACTCCATCTCCCCACCCCCGAAAAAAGAGCAAAGCAGAATAATTAAATGGGGTCTCATTTTGACTTGAGGTTTCATAAGACACAAAGACAGCTGGTTTCCAGACACCTTATGGAAAGCTGAAATGTCCTCAAACATAGTATCTCAGATTTTGACCCCATATTTCTATTCATAAATGAGTCTTTTGGGCCTTAACCTCTTTTCCCCAGGGAGAATATAACATATTTAGACATTATGGAAAAAGAAAAGTTTTAGATTTTCCACTCTTTTTACACTGTTATTATCAATAATTCATCCTGAAGTTTAAAATCACTAGGCTCATGCACTAACCCCTAACATGGCACTACAATATGCTACCAAGCACTAATGCTTACAAAACTATACATATCTTAAAGTGGAAGACATTGGTGATTTTGTTGTTCTTAAACAACTTTTAACATTTGTCCACAAGTATTAAAATACACATATATATATACATTTCTATTGCACATATCCTGTTTTTGTTTAACTTTTCAAAAGAAAAACTGCCAGCTAACATGGATGAGCAAGGGAAGGGAAGGAAGCATGGCTACAAATCGACGTACAGTCCTGCCTAAAATTATAGCTTTTCCTATCAAAGGGACCAAAATAGACAAGAAAAAAATGTAGATGTATTAAGTAAACACTGGGCAACTACAGCTGCAATATATCCATTTTGTTAAAGGCATCTGATCTGAACCATGGAAGATACAGAAACAATTTCAAGAGCATTAAACACTGGTTCTCTCAACTGTGGAATGAAAAAAATATAAAGTATATACACTGAGTCTGATAGCTATTTAAACAAGTGGGCCAGAGCCGGTTTCAATGGTGCCAAAAGTACAGGTACTCTACCACCCGTCAAATGATCCTACCAAAAAAGATGCCAGAAGTACACACAGAAGATGGGTTAACAGACACCTGGAAGGTACAAATTCTCCATGATATGACATTTTCAACATACTAGTGGAACCCATATATGTAGGCTCCATTCTGTCTTGAACAATTCCAAAATATTAAAGAAAAACATCAGGAAGTAGGTAGATTACTTAGAGAAAAATTTGAGTTACTTTTAAGCAAAGATTTTTACTGTGCTTTTATCACTCACTCAGTAGTTGCCCTCAAAAAAAGAAATATTTTATATATAATATGTAATTATTTTACTAAAAGTATTTTTTACCCATTTCAAATGGGTTGATTGACCAATCTCACTAATAGTAAGAGTGCTCAACATTTCCAATTTTGGGCCATTTTTATCACTCTCAAATTTTGGTGAATCTTCGCTATTCCTAGCATCATAGCATTGATGGACCTGAGTAAACATTCCGGAAAACACAGAGATGTTCCAAAACTCTCTGTTCTTAATTTCATCTAGTTTCAAAATTTATTCTCTACTCACAAAGAAGCATAAAGGTTTCACTCTTACATAAAGACCTGACAGTACACACAATGGTCCTCTGCTGATTTGGAAGCAAGGACAGTTTTCTACGACAGTCTGTTCTTTATAACTGTTGTGGGAAAAAAAATCAATTTCTTATTGTAATTATTTTTCTTGTTTGAAGTTTCTTTTCCACGATGACCCAACCGCAAGTTTGGGAACATTGCTTCTGAGGCCCATGCTCTGATGAGAAAGTCCAGTCCCAACTGGGGACAGTACCTGAGTCCCAGCCTTTTCAGCCTAACATTATACCTAATATCTAGAGTAAGAAATCAGGCTGGGCGTGGTGGTGCGTGCCTGTAATCCCAGCTACTTGGGAGGCTGAGGCAGGAGAATCGCTTGAACCCGGGTGGGAGAGACTGCAGTGAGCAGAGACCACACCAGTCACTGCAGCCTGGGCAACAGAGCGAGACTCTGCCTCAAAAAATAAATAAATAAAATAAAAAAAAATCAAACATCCAAGTATCCACCTTGGGTTGCAGGAAGAGTTAATCTTATGCGTTTACAAAAAAATGTAACTGTATAGTATGAAACACCATAAAGTCAGATGGCACTGCATGAGGCATTTTTGCTTCTTTTTTTTAAGGAAAAGAAGTTATATGGAAAATTCTCTCATCCTCCCCTCTCTGCCCCCGACTCCTCTATGTCCAAAGTTTTTTTTTTTATTTATTTTTCTGAGACGGAGTCTCACTCTGTCGCCCAGGCTGGAGTGCAGCGGTGCAATCTGGGTTCACTGCAACCTCCGCCTCCCGGGTTCAAGCGATTCTCCCGCCTCAGCCTCCTGAGTAGCTGGGATTACAGGCATGCACCACCACCTCCGGCTAATTTTCTATTTTTAGTAGAGATGGGGTTTCTCCATGTTGGTCAGGCTGGTCTCGAACTCCCAGCCTCAGGTGATTCGCCTGCCTCGGCCTCCCAAACTGTTGGGATTACAGGTGTGAGCCACTGCACCCGGCCTAGGTTTTTGTTTAAAATTGGGTCTTTGTTCTTATTCAGTAAATCTATGTCACAGGATGAACCAGGATTTAAATATACAAATATAAATTTTTAGTATCTTTCACGTTAAATTAGAAACACATATTTGGAATTTACTGCTGCAGCCTCAGCTGTGCTTATCATGGTAGTGGCTGAAAGTGGAAGACTTTTTTTTAAACCCTGAAGTCATCCATACTTGCTACTTCTTTAGTCTTCTTGCTTGGAATGAAAAGTATTCACAAATACCACCACCTAAGCACCTGTTTCAAATGAAACTCAGCCCTCAGCTTGAAAAATGATGTCTTTATAATTAAGCAAACAGCAGAAGACCCATGCGAGTTGCTTCTTTCTCCCTGGAGATGTTGGCAGGATAACTGGAATCCTAGGAGCTCCTCTGTGTTCAACTTCAGAGGCAGAACAAAAAGGAAAGTGGCCTTTTCCATTCCAAATCACGGAGGTAATGTGTAGAGAAGTGATAGCCACATTTCAAGCATAGGGAAAGTAACTTGGTAAAAGAAGCAGGACTACCCACTCTAGGAGACAACATAGAGACACTTGCCAATGAGAGGTGACAGCGTGCTGGCAGTCCGCACAGCCCTCGCTCGCTCTCGGCGCCTCCTCTGCCTGGGCTCCCACTTTGGCGGCACTTGAGGGGCCCTTCAGCCCACCGCTGCTCTGTGGGAGCCCCTTTCTGGGCTGGCCAAGGCCGGAGCCGGCTCCCTCAGCTTACAGGGAGGTGTGGAGGGAGAGGCGCGAGCGGGAACCGGGGCTGCGCGCGGCGCTTGCGGGCCAGCTGGAGTTCCGGGTGGGCGTGGGCTTGGCGGCCCCGCACTCAGAGCAGCTGGCCGGCCCTGTCGGCCCCAGGCAATGAGGGCTTAGCACCCGGGCCGGCGGCTGCGGAGGATGTACTGGGTCCCCCAGCAGTGCCGGCCCACCGGCGCTGTGCTCTATTTCTCGCCGGGCCTTAGCTGCCTTCCCGCGGGGCAGGGCTCGGGACCTGCAGCCCGCCATGCCTCAGCCTTCCCCGACCTCCGTGGGCTCCTGTGCAGCCCAAGCCTCCCCGAGGAGCGCCGCCCCCTGCTCCACGGCGCCCAGTCCCATCACCACCCAAGGGCTGAGGAGTGCGGACGCACGCCGCGGGACTGGCAGGCAGCTCCACCTGCAGCCCCGGTGCGGGATCCACTGGGTGAAGCCAGCTGGGCTCCTGAGTCTGGTGAGGATGTGGGGAACCTTTGTGTCTAGCTCAAGGTTTGTAAATACACCAGTCAGCACCCTGTGGCTAGCTCAGTGTGAATGCACCAATCGACGCTCTGTATCTAGCTACTCCGGTGGGGCCTTGGAGAACCTTTACGTCTAGCTCAGGGATTGTAAATACACCAATGGGCACTCCGTATCTAGCTCAAGGTTTGTAAACACACCAATCAGCACCCTGTGTTTAGCTCAGGGTTTGTGAGTGCACCAATCGACAGTGTATCTAGCTACTCTGGTGGGGCCTTGGAGAACCTTTGTGTCTAGCTCAGGGGTTGTAAACGCACCAATCAGTGCCCTGTCAAAACAGTCCACTGGGCTCTACCAATCAGCAGGATGTGGGTGGGGCCAGATAGGAGAACAAAAGCAGGCTGCCCGAGCTAGCAGTGGCAACATGCTCAGGTCTCTTACCACGCTGTGGAAGCTTTGTTCTTTCGCTCTTTGCAATGAATCCTGCTGCTGCTCACTCTTTGGGTCCACACTGCCTTTATGAGCTGTAACACTCACTGTGAAGGTCCGCAGCTTCCCTCCTGAGCCAGCGAGACCAGGAACCCACCAGAAGGAAGAAACTCAGAACACATCCCAACATCAGAAGGAACAAACTCCAGACGCGCCACCTTAAGAGCTGTAACACTCACCGCGAGGGTCTGCGGCTTCATTCTTCAAGTCAGTGAGACCAAGAACCCACCAATTCCGGACACACCAAGTCCTGAGTTCAGAATTTTGTTTTTGAGATGAACATAAAAGCACCTAAAGGTCAAGGAAGATGTTCTTCCTGTGATAAGGAACACAAAGCCTGTTTGGTGGTCTCTTCACACGGAAGCGCATGACACTTCGCTTTAGTGTAGATGACCACTCCCCTCTGTAAGGTAGGGAGGAAGAATGTTCGGTTAGTTCCTTTCCTCCGGCCGATCTCTTTTTTTTCTTCTGGCACGGTCCAACAGACACTCCTGGCACTTGGCTTCCCGGGGGCTGCTCGCCCCCGGCCCAGAGGCCGGTTTCCAGCGGCAGGCCTTATTCCACCATCTTTGCAGCTTCCAATTCTTTTCATGTTAAGTTGTTTTTTGGAGAGATATATAAATTTATTTTGGTCAGTATTTGTCTTATATCTCTTTTTCCAAATTCTTTATGTTCCAATTTTTGGGGTAGTATTGTTTTAAGTGTCTCTTACATACTATATCTAGATATATCTTTACTCTGAGAATTTTTTAAGAGGCAGTTTAAAACCGTTACCTGTACTACAACTGCAAATATACTTGAATTTATTTCTTTTATATTATTTTGTGTTTGCAATTTAATATTATCTTTGTTTCTCTTCTTATATCCAATTGTGTAGGTGAAGTTTTCTTTGTTTCATTTCCCTCTGTTTGTTTAAAAAGTTGTATTTTCTGGCCTGGTGCGGTGGCTCACCTGTGTAATCTCAGCACTTTGGGACGCCGAGGCAGGCAGATCACCCGAGGTCAGGAGTTTGAGATCAGCCTGGCCAATGTGGTGAAACACTGTCTTTACTAAAAATATAAGAATTAGCTGGGCATGGTGGCGAACACCTCTAATCCCAGCTACCCCTTTAGGCTGAGGCATGAGAATCACTTGAACCCAGGAGGAAGAGATTGCAGTGAGGCGATGCCACTGCCCTCCAGCCTGGGAGACAGAAGACTGTGTCTCAAAAATTTTCCATTTCTATATTTATAATATATAATAACATATAATAATTATAATATATATAGTATATACATAATATAAATATAATATATAATATGATATAATATATAATCTATATTATAATTTTCCATTTCTATATTTATATCCTATGTTCTATAATTACAGTTAATGAAAATTTAAGATTTTTTTCTAGTTAAACATAAAGCTATTCTGTACCTCAATCTTCCTCACAAATATGACAAAATAGTTGAAATACTTTTTCTTTTCACTCTCATCTTACCTTCTAACTTCCAAGTTTATTTTCCAGCTCATAACTGATGATACTCAATTTTGTAATAATTTTTAATAACGATACACATTTAGATTCACTAATATTTGTTTACTAATTTCTTTGCTTACCATTAATTCTTTACACACACACACACACACACACACACTCTTTATTTATTTTGACACAGGGTCTCGTTCTTTTGCCCACGCTGGAGTGCAGTGGCGTGATCTCAGCTCACTGCAGCGTTCACCTCACGGGCTCCGGCGATTCTCCCACCTCAGCCATCCCAGTGGCTGAGACTAGAGGTGTGCATCACCATGCCTGGCTAATTTTTGTATTTTTGGTAGAGATGGGGTTTCATCTTGTTGGCCAGGCTGGTCTCAAACTCCTGGGCTCAAAGAGATCCACCTGCCTCTGCCTGCCAAAGTGCTGGGATTACAGGTGTGAGCCCCCATGCCCAGCTACCACATATTAATTCATTCTTTAGACTTCTTTTTTTTTCTCTTGATAGAGTCCATTCTAAGTTGTTCTGTCAGTGAAACTCTGTTTAAAACATGGCTTGTATGAAGTTGTCAGGAATCGGCTCTGACACTTGGATGATTCTTCAGCTGGCTATAAAATTCTAAAATCAGAGTAACCGTGTATTGACTTCCAACATTCCACATTTCCAAAGGTACATGTAATCTCAATCAGATTTATGTTTTTTGTGTGTGTTCTCTAATAACTTTTGGGATCTTTTCTCTATTCTCTACCATTAATTTCGGAAGTTTCACTCTGCGTAGGTGTGAACCTAAAATATTTTTCCTGCATCTTGTTTTATATTTCCATTCCTAAACACTTTAAGAATTTTAAAGATACTTATCTTGGGATACTTTTCAGGTTGACTTCATCTATTTCCTTTGGTGTAAACTCTTCCATTCGCTGTTATTCATAATGTTTATCTTCTGAAACATTTTTAGGATTTTTGTTTTGTGAGCTCACATTCTGTACATTCCTCCTGTTGTTCTCTTTCATGGAAAGCCGCAGCCTGTTTCCCAGGTCCACGCCAGGCTGCATTTGCTCAGAAATGCTCCTGCATAGTGTTCATATATTTATCCTCAGAAATGCTCCTGCATAGTGATATATTTATGCTCAGAATATGCCCTGCATAGTGATATATTTCCTCCCCGTGTCTGCTAATGGCATGACCTCACTCACCTTCATGTACAGGGGATCATACCAGAAACCATGGCCACTGCAAACCATGGTCACTGTAGTTCCTTAGTGGCCTTGGGAATGGTGCAAGGGTGTCCAGTTAGTCTCTGTTTATGGGAGTTCTGTGTTTCCCACCCTGAGCTCCAGGAAGATAGTGTTTATTGGGACTGCATTCAAAGAGATCTAAGAGATCCTGCCTCCGGCTTCTGAACTTTCTGCTTGAGATCCATGCCCTGTTCTCCCAGGAGAAGTGATTTTAGTCTTTGACAATTACCAAATACCCCCTTTGGTTATGTTCTTGTTAGAAAATAGTCACTTTTCTTCTTTTCCTAAGGAACTATGTGTTTGCTAGTCTTGAAATTTTAGAAATCATTCCCATTTGGAGAGAGTGGAGGGTTTAGAATATGTTTCATCTGGCTTTATAATTATATATTTTTGTTTTATTATTATTATTATTATTTTATAGAGATGAGGTCTCTCTATGTTGCCCAGGCTGGTCTCGAAACTCCTGAGTTCAAGTGATCTTCCCACTTTGGCCTCCCTAAGTGTTAGGATTACAGGTGTGAGCCACCACACCTGGCCTGCCTTTATAAATATTATTGTAAAATGTCTTTAGCCTAGATGAAGCTGAAATTCTTTCCAGTGAATCTTCTGCTGTGGCTATTAAAGTTTACTATGAAAAAGAAGCAGAAAGACATGCTCCTGTGCCTGAACACTGAAGAGGATTGCAAAGGCCAAAGGCAGGAAGAAGTTCAGGGGATAGGATGGAGAATGAGCATAGCAAGTTGCTCCTGAACTTAGTCCTGTAATAAGTCTGCAGGGCAGAAGGTTCCAGGGCACATAAACTAGGATAGGAACTGCTATCCTAGTTTATATGGAGTGGAGTGATATAGTTTGTGTGGAATGATATGGTAACTAGGTATATGAATACATTCCTCATAGCAACATCATTCCACACAGGCAATTCAGACTCTGGCCTGAAGGCAACAATTCTGAGTTTATTCTTTATTTCCTGAATTCAGTCTCCCTCAACCTGTGAATTGCAACCTCACCTACCAAATGTCTGCTACCACTTGAGTGGGACCATCACCAGCCTGGATTTGAGAGCTCACCTGGCAATTTCTCCAGCCATTATATCATGGAATCAATAGGTTACAGGGTCTCCAAGACCTCCTATGCCAAATCATTCAGTCTTTCTGTGGGGTTATGAGTACCCCTTCCCTGTGTAGTCCAGGAGACTGCTGGAAACTTGGTGTGTGTGTGGGTGCAGAGGGTGGCGAGAGAAGTTCCTATACTTGTAGGACAAAAATACTTTTGGAGCCAGACAAAAATAGCTTTGGACACCCTGGACTGGGAAAGATGGGATGATTCCATCCCTGCTACATTATCACTCTCTGTCATCTACTCTCTTCTTCACCTCCAGCTCATAATGGCTAGGTTCCCATAGGATTTTCCATTCTACACATGTCTTAGTCTGTTTTGTGTTGCTGTAACTGAATGCACGAGACTGGGTTATTTACAAAGAAAAGACATTTATTTCTCACAGTTTTGGAGGTTAGGAAGTCCAAGGTTGAGGGGTTGCATCTGATGGGGGCCTTCTTGCCGGTGGGGACTCTCTGCAGGGTCCTAAGGCAGCTCAGGGTGTCACATGGCAAGAGGACAAGAAAATGCCAAACTGGCTTTTATAACAGACACACTCCTGTGATAACCCATTAGTCTACTAATCCGTGAATGGGTTATTCCTTTCAAGACAGAAGAGCAAATATAACCCAGCCACCTCTGAAATACCCCATCTTCAACATGAGTCTTGGAGGACGCAGACATTCACACCATAGCATGAGGCTGTAGATGTCTTCAAAACAACCTCTGCCTTTGTCTTCTAGAAGTGGAGTTTCCAGACTCTACTTGTTCAAGGATGCTGTGTCCTTGACTTAGCTCATTATCACCTTTTGGTCACCTTTTTCATCCTGGTGCTTTATGGACTCTAATTGATCGGTTTCCAACCCACCACCATATCTGACTGTGCTCTAGGTGTTTCCTGTGATCTCTGGGATCCTGATCCGCACCACTCAACTTTGGCCTCCTAAACTTCATCCTTGACCCCACCCCAGGTAGGAAGGATGTGTGGATATTTCTTTTATCTTTCTGCAACGATGACCTTTTGGAGAAAAAGAAAGGAAGCAGGTAAGATAAACATTGCTTTATCCATTATGTATCAAGCACTGTGCTTGATGATTTACATTATCTTCATCCTTTCAACCAATACTGGAGGAAGATGATATTCATCTTTAAAATATATCAAACATGCTCAGCTTTATTTCCCAATAAATGTGAAATGATTAAGGTCCTATAATCTGATTAAGATATCAAGATTAATCAAATTTTTTAAACAAAATTCGCATTTTATTTAGATTGATATAAATTATAGTTTATTTTCTTCACCAAAAAATAACTGCAATATTTTCCGTATTTTTCTAGATAAGCCAATACACTTATATTTGTAGGTTTTCCGGGTTTTTCTTATAAATCAAGATGAGGCAATAGGTAAGAGTCATGAAAAAAGACAGAAAAAAAAGATAAATCAGTTGTCAGTATCCATAGCCTCTGATTCTGTCTTAGCCGTGAAACAGAAGTGGTCAACATATACTTACTAAAAAAGCTTAGGAAAATGTAGGCTCCACAAAGGAATATAAACAGCAACAACTAGATGTGGAACGACAGCAGGCTCTTCCATTCAAACTTTAACTGTCATTTGTTCCTTTAAGTTCATTTGTGAAAGATAAAAATCTACCCTGAAATCCTTGTTTGGCAAGCTCACAAGCGTCTCTTTCTCTGGTAATTTCTTGTAACTGTCCAATATAGATTTTTAACATACTTAAAACTCCTATTAGTGAAAGGTCAATTGTGGGCTTCACTGTAACATTTTATAAAATGTATTCCTTCCTCTCATACCTCTTCAAAATATGTTTCTTCAAAGAATTGGTAACTCAACACCCAAGGAGCAGAGATCCACAGTGATAATAAATGCGGTGTCTCAAATGACTTAAACAATTGCAGAGTGCCACCCACAGAGATCATGCGGAAGTGAAAGATGACACTTTCAATGTTCTGTTCTGGAAGAACAGACAGGTCTTCAAAGCATGCGGGTTCAAACGGGCCATTTAAACAGGTAGATTATCAATGGCTAATGTATTCAATGGAGGCCTACAGGCAAAGATATTAAGTGATTAAGGCCTACATACACCTTATGGCTTTCCTTCCAAATATCGAATATAAGAAAGACTATTTTTAAAAGTCTCAGGTATTTTCCATGGTTTCTGAATTATCTGTGGGAAGCTCTGACTTACTGTTACAGAGTTTAATATATGTGTCCACCAATAAATCCAGGTCATGTTTTATATCAAAATTTATGTTAATCTAAGCCAAGTTACTTGACCTTTGGTCTGTCAAAGTGTTCCTCAAGTATGCTTTAAGATGCTTTCGTCCATTTTCATACTGCTCATTCTCAACCTTCATCACAGGAGAAATACACAGGACCTTTGGCAATAGGTCATTTAGCATACACATTAGGAAAAAACTTGATGTCAGGCAGATGGAGGGCTTCATAAATGGTGGACAGAAGCTCTGTGTCTTTCCCCATTTCCATTTGATTCTCCAACAATGAAGCTCGGCTGAGAGCATGTCGGGATTGGGTAAGTCATTTCTATACATGTCAGCATGGTGTTCCTCCGATGTATTGAATTTGAGTTGTCCCATGACTGAGGGTACCAGAGATAAGCATTTACGAGCTTGGAGGTGCTGTTCTGCGATTATATCTTTAAGTTCCTGAATAATGTGCTCCACTGTTGGGACACTTAGGATTTCTTTATAGTAACTCTCAGAGGTTAGCTGAGATTCCAAGTTACGCTGGTAAGCTCTGCAATATTTCCCAGGGAGTTTCATTTGAATATCAAGTTTGGTTGCCAAATTTGTGGCTTCCTCAAATCAAAATTCCTGATAAACTTCAATATTCTCCGTCACTTCACTGAGTGAACGCAGTGCTGCAGTCAAGCTACTGGCTGCAAAGAAGACATCAAAGGTTTGCCCCTGGAGATTTTTCCCAAAGGCTCTGGTAAAAGATAGGACATTTTTAAGAACAACAATAGTAACAATGAAGTCAAAATCTGTTACTGCACTGCAGAGTACAAATGCTCAGCCAGCTACAGTTATTCCATCTAATATTTGTGTCACTATTTATATCATCTAAACATAAAACAAATGCTTGCAGAAGTTCCACTACAATTTCAAAAACATCATGCCTGCCTGTCCACTGAGAATGGCAGAGTTCCTTCAGTTCTTTGTCCCTTTCTTTACTGTTCTGAAAAAGAACAGAAATTACATTGTCAAATTCTAAAAGCAGTTGTGGTGATTGATGGAAAAAAAGAACAAACTCCGTCAATTGTTCCTGATGCAACAGATACTCCCATAACAGGTACTGATTTTACCAACCACATATTTAAGACGCAGGAAGAGCAGAGTGGGTAGATAGCTTGGGGATATTTCTCTAAAAGTCTAGAAGCAACAACTTTCATTTTGGAAGAAAATCCAGTAGACAAAATGTAAGCTTGGTCATGACAGTACTCCATATTTAATCCCCATTTCTCAGCTATCATAGTGTGAAATTTCACAGCCAAAACTTCTGCATCAGCTTCATAAGGCAGGAAGCCTACAAATTCCCCTCTTATGTTTTGAGACTCATCAACAAACCTCACCGAGACTCATCAACAAATCTCACCAACATAGGTAGGTGCCCTTCCCCTGCCATGTCCGCTACATCGTCAGTTATAATGGAAAAGAAGTGTGAGTCTCTCACTTCCCTGCATTCTTCCCGAATGCAGCTCTCACAGATCTCTAGCATCTGCCTCTGCTGTGTTTTTAATAAAACAACATGTTAACTGCTGTTGTCTCAAACTGCTTTCTCAGGACCTCTTGACCAGAATTTATCCAGCACTCCAGCACGGCTTGCACGTTATCTGGAGTAAAGAGACCTTCTGGGATTTCATCAGCCTCCTGTCCATCAAGAGGTATGTTTTGCTTTCCCATCAGAATCAAGATTTCAAACAGAGATTTTAGGTATCCTTTGTTTTCCTTCTTTTCAAGGGTTAGAGGTAAAATGTCCTCATCTGGCCCTTCACTCCCTTCTTTACTGGGGTTCGGAGCATTGCTGTTGTTGGTTTCTTTATGTTTTTGTTCCTGTTCAGAAGTTTCATCAACAATTCTTTTATTCGTTTTCTGGGTCTACTAGGTGGGTTGTTCAAATGACCAGTAAGAGCAAATATTGTTGGTATTGCATTATCTCATAGAACTGTCCTATAAGGACTAGTTCTACAGACCCCAGATGTCTCAAAATGTTTGGCACCTCATTGATCATGTTTAGCTGATCATCCCTGGGGCTGGGGAGGGCAGCCAGGCCAGCCAGCGCGCAGGGCAGGGGCGGGCGGAGGAGAAGCCTGGAGGAGGCTGACGGGAAGCCTCGAGGAGGGGCACCCCGGTCCGAGGCTGGGCTGGGAACGCTGCTCCACAGCGCTGTGAGTGGCCGGGAGGACTTACCGCCACCACCGCTGCCTCTGGGGCATCTCCCACCCGCCCGGGATGCTGCCGCCTCCTTTCCACAATGCCTGTTGATCAATTTTTTAATCAAGAAGTATTCATGTCTACCCAGCCTCTAATGACTTTTTTGAAAATGAAGTTACAAACACAAAGCACATATCAGCTCCAAAAACTCCTCAAAATATCTAAGGGCGTCTGCAAGTTTTTCTTCTAATCTGATTTTTAAATGGAAGCATCTTATGTTTGATACAAAATTTGATGTCTTTTAAAAAATGAGTTCTAGAGCACAACATTTTCAATAAAAAGTACAAATGTATGGTTGTACAATAAAATGTATAAGATACCTTTTTTGTGTGTGTGTAATACATGAATGTAGTTCCTCTCTATTCTTTATGCTCTTTAAATTCTTCATTATTATGCACTATTTCTTAAAATGGCCTAGGGAATGGATTGGTAGCTTTGGCTGTTTCCTGCTGACGTTTTAGAGGGCTACTAAAATGTGCAAAGAGGTAGTTACAGACAACAGTAAAACAACTAAATATTCAATGTGCCCTTTCAAATGTGTATTTAAGGACACAGAATCTTCTGTGTGGAGACAATCTGTGCATGCAGCTAGACTAAATGCGTGCTAGCAGCCAAGACTTGCCTCTCTCAGTAGACCAGAATTATTCATAAACCATCATGTAAAGAGAAGTGAGCAGTCAACCAGGAGAACCAAGGGCACAGCTGTGAGTCCTGAGTAGCAAGATCAAATCTCACACACTCATTACGAAGAGGGAGGGTTTGTGCCTTCATTTATTTTTGGACACAGCTTAGCTAAGGTTGCTGGCCATATTTCTGTTATTTTGATTCAAGCAGAAAATCCTGTGCAGATCCACGGAACACATTATTGTAACATCGCTCAGAGGAGAATTGGGCCAATGCAATTTAGAGGATGAAAATAGCTCTGCAACGTGGTGTAGAAACTCTGGTTTATTGGAGGATAACTTTTTTGATGGTCTCAAAGTTAAAAAAAAACTTAAAAACAATTTTATTAAATAGAAACTTGAGAGATTTTTATTCTATGCCTTATAGATCAAATGATTTTAGCATGGGGTGCGAGGCAGATGCCAAGGGCTTACTGGAGTGAACTGCAAGCAACTCCAAAACTTTTCTGTGCTTCTCCTGAAATACTCTTGCTTTGTATGTGAGTCGTGTCTAGGCCACATTAAATGGAGTCATTAGGCTTGAGTAACTTGAGTAACTTTTTAAATTAGGAATTCTTGACTTGGGGTTTCTCTTTTCTGCCGTCTTTTTCTACGATTGAAAATGGCAATAAGGACGAATTTTTCCATGATTTGGAATTACCAGGAAGGATGGACTTCTAAGGACTGATAGCTTGTGAAAGATAACCACTGAAATAACCAATCGTATTTGTGCAAGGCTCATTGTTTTAACGCCATATTCGTCTTATAGGATTATTGTTTTCCTTAAAAGAATGTTTCTACTAACTAGACTTTTAATCTAACTTCAGTGCTGTCTGTCCAAGACTGTCCTGAATTAAGTGATTTTAAGGGATAAAGTCTATCAATTTAATTTATTTGCATTTTATGGATTCTTCTTTTTTATTAAAAAAATGTTTACAGTTTAGATTATAGCTTATATACAAATTTCTCCTATGAAGTCTCTTCCGTTTTGTGACAGTTTGATTAAATAACCAACAGACTCCACTGCTGATTTATCACCAATGATAATAAATTTTTTCAGAATTTAAATTTATCTACAGTAAGTAACAGGCATTAATAACTTGGTTTCTTTTTTAAATAACCAGAGTCTGCAATGCCTTGGTTTATGCAAAAGCAGACAGGTCAGGCCCATCTCCTGGCTGGGTAACCTTTTTTTGCCACTGATCCAGCCCTTAAAGTGAGTCAAGTTGTTTACTTGGGGGTCCATGGATGAGCTACAGAGATTAGTCTGTGAATATCCTAAAATTCAGTACAACTGTGAGTTTACGTAAATTTTCACATAATTTTTATCAAAAGAAGTTTGTGGTATAATGGATAGGTGGGCACTATAGTGTACCCTGCAGTCAGACTGCCTAGATTTATATGATGATGGGCTTTGTGAGTTCTATTCCAAAATACGGTACCTTGGCATATTGAGTATTTTAAGCTGAAGAAATTTGAGAAATGGCAGGTTCAGGAAGGACTCTCTGGCCTTCCCTTGAAGCAGGTCATAAGACCCTCCTGTGAGAGATGCTCTCCCTATACCCAGAGAAATGGAGCATTCTTCTCCCTGAAGATGGAGGGGCGCTGAAGGGAATCTGAATTAACAGGCGTTGCTCAGTTTCCCCCAGTTTACTGCCCTTAGCACCTACGCCTCTGCCCTGTCACATTTTCCCACAACTCTTCATCAAACCTAGTATAAGAAAACACTCAGGTTTAATCATTTTTTAAGGTATTCATTTCTTAATGAAGTCTCCCATGTCACATAATACTTTTTTTTTTGAGACGGAGTTTTGCTCTTGTAGCACAGGCTGGAGTGCAATGGCACGATCTCAGCTCACTGCAATCTCTGCCTCCTGGGTTCAAGTGATTCTCATGCCTCAGACTCCCAAGTAGCTGGGATTACGGGTGCCAGCAACCACGCCCAGCTAATTTTTGTATTTTTAGTAGAGACAGGGTTTCACCATGTTGGCCAGGCTGGTCTTAAACTCCCGACCTCAGATGATCCACCCGCCTCAGCCTCCCAAAGTGCTGGGATTAGAGGCGTGAGCCACCGCACCTGGCACAAAATACTTCTGTTACGTAAATTTGTATGCTTTTCTGTTGTTACAGAGCCACAGCTAAGAACCTAGAAGGGTAGAAGCAAAAGATTTTTTTCCTCCTGTATAATCCCAATCCACTACTTAGGTAGGTGACTTCAAACAAGTTACTTAACCTCTCTCTGCTTCAGTGTTCTCAAAATTGCAGAAACGATCTTATAGGACTGCTGTGATGGTTAAATGTGAGAATTTTGAGGGCACAGAAAACTCTTAATGAAGTGGCAGGTACTTAGTAAGCGTCACTAAATTTTACTAATTACATCACACAGTCGGCCCTCCTCGTCCACAGGTTCCATAGCTTTAGATTCAAGCAACCTTCCAACAATAAAAATAATAATGCAACAATTAAAGTTGTATTAATTAAAAATACGGTATAACAACTAATAGCATTTACATTGTATCAGATATTACAATAATCTAGAGATGACTTAGTATGTGGGAGGATTTACGTAGTTTATATGCAAACACTACACCATTTTATATTAGTGACTTGAGCATCTGTGGATTTTGGTATCTGAGGAGGTCCAGGAACCAATTATTTCCCAGGGATGCCAAGAGGTGACTGTATTCTCAAAATAATCTGTAACCTCCAAAAAGTTAAGAGACACTGAGCTATGATATTTTTAGAATTGTGTTTTAAAGAACAAATCAGTACCTGATTTAATAAGTCACACTCAAGCTTAATTCAAACAGAAATATTAATTTGCAAAATATACAGATGCATATTCATCATGAGGCAGAAAGGCCTTTTAAATAGCTTTGAAAATGTGGAACATCAATTTGTGTTGTTCTTCCATGGGAGAAAAAGGATTACTAAGTCTCAGGTAAGCCTCCAAAAAATATTTCCATCTGCCCCTGGCTTCCGTACTATCCAAGCTTGTCTTGAAACCTTGAAATAAATTTCAAGGTGACAACCTAAATTTAACTCTGCGGTAGTGGGTTGTGGATTTCTCAGCATTTTCCTTTTTAGTTAGCATGGAAGTCAAAAGTTACAAAAGCAATGAGATTCTGCATCTTTTAATGAAAGATAAAACAACAATATAAACATACACAAATTTACAGAGAAGGGATCAACTTTAATACATTTGGAGTAAAAGGTGTTTCTTCTTTAAATATGGTATAAAAATAAATGCGAGAAACATTAACGGAGAATGTACAGACAACAGACGAAGACATGAGTTTGTTTCTGACTGTGACACATTGGTGAAATGAAACTTTCTGTGCGGAATTTATTGTTTAATAAATGTGAAGCCACATGTATACTTATTGATATATACTTTTTTCTTTTACAGTTCTTCCAGTTTTTGACTGACTGAATTTTCAGTGAACTGTGTGTCTAACTGAAGCTTTGAGAGAGAGAGAGAGAGAAAGAAGGAAAAAAAGAAAAGGTTTTACTTCACTTGAACTTGTTAAAAAGGAAGAGACACAGATCCAGCATAGTAGAAGGAGAAAGAAAGCAGACAACAGTTTGGAATGGAGGCATTGAGACGGAAGAGTCCATTGGAGATGGAATGTACACACAAAAATAACAATTTAGGTCCTTTGCTCATGCAACATCTTGTTCTAATGTCCTCTGCTCCAGGTCACAACATTGAGCTACAAAGTGTGTGCAGTGACTCCAGTCTGCATTCATGCTACAAGATGATCCGTTTAGTAAGACTGAGCAAGGCTTGTTAACCTCTTGGACGTGAGAGATTTCCCCTGAGAAAATATATAAAACAAGAGAAAAGAAAGAAAATCAAGTACGATCACTGAAAACCTGCTTAGTAGTAGCAACTATTTACTGTAGCTGATTTTTGTGCAAGGTCAACACTGAACCCTTTAAGTCCATCTTAGTTCAAACCTCATGACCAACCTGCCTTCCCCCCTCCCTCCCTCCACTGACACGTCAAACAAAACTATCCTCCCTCCCTCCACCCTCCTACCCCTCCCAAATCCTTCCTCCCCACTGCAAACAGACTGATGGTTTCACAGCACAGATTAGCAAATCATAAAACATATCCATAAATGCTCCATCAAGGCTTAGCAATGAAGCAACACCTAGGTTCCCAACTGATTATAAACATGTTACAACAAATCTTAGTAAGCTGCTCTGAAAGATAATGTGAGTGCATTCTTGTTCAATGGCTGAAATTAATGTCACATTTATAAATATCTAGAAATGTAGAGGATACGATTTAATTAAATAAAATGCAGTTTTTGAGGGTGTGATTCATGAAACTCAAGATTGAGTCTGTTCCCTATCTTACATAATAATGGATAAAAAGGTGCCAATTATATATCTGAAGATAAAAGTCTACTTGTTCCCTGTTTCTAGCTGTTGATGTCTTCCTGTTCTTTCCTACCTGACTTCTTCCAACCCTAATACAAGAAAAAATCTGTTCTATTCTGATTCCACAAATCATATGATTACATAAAGCACATACTTATGTTTTAGAAATCTTGTAAGTCAACAGTGTTGCTGTTAATCACAAGTACTCTAGAGAGATAAGAAATTTGAGACCGGGCGCAGTGGCTCACGCCTGTAATCCCAGCATTTTGGGAGGCTGAGGTGGGCAGATCACCTGAGGTCAGGAGTTCGAGACCAGCCTGGCCAACATGGTGAAACTCCGTCTCTACTAAAAGTACAAAAATAAGCCAGGCGTGGTGGCGGGCACCTGTAATCCCAGCTACTCAGGAGAATCACTTGAACCCAGGACGCGGAGGTTGCAGTGGGCTGAGATCGCGCCACTACACTCCAGCCTGGGTGACAAGAGCGAGACTCTGTCTCAAAAAAAAAAATAGAAATTTGAAACGTTTGATCGGAATGCAAAACTGCTGGTTTTCATTTCATGTCTTATTTTATATGTTCTATTATAAAATTATGTGGGCCAGTTATTTAATGAATTTTTGTACATCTCAGAAGATAAGTAAAAATTAAAAAATTGGAAACATATATTTTAGTAATAAATCACAGTCATAGCAATACTCTTGATTTGCTACCTAATGTGGCTCAGTTTTAGAAAGGGGTCAGCGGTGATGGGAGATACATCATCACTCATGGCCATTGCCTTAGTCTGTTTGGGCTGCTATAACAGAAAACGATAGACTAAGTGGCTTATAAACAACAGAAATTTATTTCTTATAGGACTGGGAAGTCCAAGATCTAGACACTTATAGATTCTTTGTCTAGTGAGGGCCTTCTCCTTGGTTCATCAATGGTGCATTCTCGTTGTGTCCTCAGATAATGGAAGAAGGAAATAAGCTCCCTGGGACCTATCTGATAAAGGCTCCTGTTCATAAGGGCTTCACCTTCATGATCTAATGACCTTCCAAAGGCCCTAACTCCTAATACCATCACCTTCATGATCTAATGACCTTCCAAAGGCCCTGACTCCTAATACCATCACCTTCATGATCTAATGACCTTCCAAAGGCCCTGACTCCTAATACCATCACCTTCATGATCTAATGACCTTCCAAAGGCCCTGACTCCTAATACCATCACCTTCATGATCTAATGACCTTCCAAAGGCCCTGGCTCCTAATACCATCACCTTCATGATCTAATGACCTTCCAAAGGCCCTGACTCCTAATACCATCACCTTCATGATCTAATGACCTTCCAAAGGCCCTGGCTCCTAATACCATCACCTTCATGATCTAATGACCTTCCAAAGGCCCTGGCTCCTAATACCATCACCTTCATGATCTAATGACCTTCCAAAGGCCCTGGCTCCTGATACCATCACCCTTGAGATTAGGATTTAACATGTGAACTTGAGCGGGAAGGGATCACAAATATTCAGTTCATAGCAGCCACATTTTTGGAAAAAGACAATATGTTTAAGAAAAGATTAATAATTCCATAATCAACCTGTCTTTACACACCATATAATTACTGATAAGGGCCCTTTTGCTGATATGAACAGCAGCAATGAAAATCATGCACCATTTTCTCTTAATTTTTTCTTAATTGGGAAAAAGGGTCCACAACTTAGCTTTCAGCATCTGAGAGTAGAAGATATTAAAGTGGTTTTTGTTTTGTTTTGTTTTTTTGAGACGGAGTCTCACTCCGTCGTCAGGCTGAAGTGCAGTGGCGAAATCTCGGCTCACTGCAACCTGCACCTCCCGGATTCAAGCAATCCTCCTGCCTCAGCCTCCAGAGTAGCTGTAACTACAGGCACCTGCCACCACGCCTGGCTAATTTTTGTTATTTTTAGTAGAGATGGGGTTTCACCATGTTGGCCAGGATGGTCTCGATCTCTTGACCTTGTGATCCACCCGCCTTGGCCTCCCAAAGTGCTGGGATTACAGGCACAAGCCACTGCGCCCGGCTGATATCAAAGTTTAATGCTGGCATTTCCCACTAGGCTTATGTTTATTCACTTTATGGGAGAAACAACAATAAAAGAGAAAACAGTTTATTAACAACAGACCCTGCTTTATAAATAAAATATGCACTCCTGCCTGCTCTGGTCTGTCTGTCCCCCTCAAAGCTCACATGTTGAAAGCTTACTCCCCAGTGTGATGCTATTAGGAGGTGGGGGCTTTGCGAAGTGACCATGTATGAGGGTGAAGCTCTCATTAATGGGATTAGTGTTCTTTGTGTGTGTGTGTGTGTGTGTGTGTGTGTGTGTGTGTGACAGTCTCACTCTGTTGCCCAGACTGGAGTGCAATGGCGCAATCTCGGGTCACTGCAACCTCCGCCTCCAAAGGCCCCTACCTTTGGAGGGCCTCAAATTGCTTGAGTTGCTGGGTTCAAGCGATTCTCCTACCTCAGCCTCCTGAGTAGCTGGGATTACAGGCATGCACCACCACGCCCGGCTAATTTTGTACTTTTAGTAGGGCCAGCTTTTGCCATTTTGGCCAGCCTGGTCCCAAACTCCTGACCTCAGGTGATCCACCTGCCTTGGCCTCCCAAAGTGCTGGGATAAGAGGCATGAACCACTGCGTCAGGCCTAGTGCTCTTATAAAAGAGGCCGAAGGAAGCTTGTTTGCCCCTCCCACCAGGTGAGGACACAGTAGGAAGATGGCTGTCTATGAACCAGGAAGGGGGCCCTCATCGGACACTGAATCTGCCAGCATCTTGATCTTGGACTTCTCAGCTTCTAGAACTGTGAGAGATAAATTTATTTTGCTTATAAGCTACCCACCCAGTTTGTGGCATTTTGTTATAGCTGACTATAACGGACTGAAATGCTGCCTCCACTTCTATGCCTATTTCCTCATCTGTAAAATGAGGATAATAATAGTACTTATTTTCAAATTTTGTTGTGAAGAATGATACAAGTAAATTGCTTAAAATTATTTATGGATCATTTTGTGCACTCAGTTTACGTTGGCTATTACCTCATTATACTATCATTATAATTATTAACACTATCATTATATGCTCTCTTCATTAAGATACCCAAACCCAGAGTCACTATTCTGACTCTAAAAGGACAGAAAGTTATAAATTAAAAGCTAAAATCATACTGCTTTTCCACCCCAATCCTGGGCAATAAGCTAATCAAATGATGTTGAAATAAAAAAGATTCAGTTCTTAAATACAATGCCATTTCCTGTGTTTACTACTGTAGTCTCTGTGCTATGAATAGAATTGTATACACATGTGCATATATACCTATTCTGAGACTGAACAATTTATATTTAAAAAGTGCTTACTTGGCTGGGCATGGTGGCTCATGCTTGTAATCCCAGCTCTTTGGGAGGCCGAGGCGGGTGGATCACTTGAGGCCAGGAGTTCAAGACCAGCCTGGCCAACATGGTGAAACCCCATCTCTTCTAAAAATACAAAAATCAGCTGGGTGTGGCGGGGCACACCTGTAGTCCCAGCTACTCGGGAGGTGGGAGAATCATTTGAATCTGGGAGGCGGAGGTTGCAGTGAGCCAAGATAGGCCACTGTACTCCAGCCTGGGCTACAGAGTGAGACTCTGTCTCAAAAAAAAAAAAAAAAAAAAAAAAAAGTGCTTCCTCTTTGTGGGATGAAGGAAGGTACACATCAGTACACGTTGTTGAGGCACAGGAATGAATTCTTATATAGTAGAAGACTGGGGAAAGATGCTGATATAAAACTGTTTCTTTTAAAACTACAGATTAATGTGATTTGGTTCAAAATTCTGGGAAGAAGAATGGGCCGGGCGCGGTGGCTGACGCCTGTAATCTCAGCACTTTGGGAGAGCAAGGCAGGTGGATCATGAGGTCAAGAGATCGAGACTATCCTGGCCAACATGTTGAAACCCCATCTCTACTAAAAATACAAAAATTAGCTGGGCGTGGTGGTGCGTGCCTGTAGTCCCAGCTACTAAGGAGGCCGAGGCAGGAGAATCGCTTGAATCCGGGAGGTGGAGGTTGCAGTGAGTCGAGATCGCACCACTGCACTCCAACCTGGGTGACAGAGCGAGACTCTGTCTCAAAAAAAAAAAAAAAAAAAGAGTGAAATAGTTACATTGAAATTGGAAGCCATTTGAAACTCAGATACAGTCATTTTTTTATTTGAACAATGACATCTACTGTTGTCTTTATCAATTTATAAAAAAAAAAAAACATGGTTCTCTTTCTATGGTTTTGTTTTTATTTTTTCAAATATCCTCAAATCCTCAAAGCTACTAGTACTTGGCCTGATATGGACTTCATTAAAAATTGGATGATACAAGTTAAGCCCGACAAACTCTTGTCCCAGGAAATAATTAAAAAATACTTTTTCATAGCAGCCCAGAGAGAAATACAGGCCCACAGTAAACCTGGGGCTTTGTGATATTAGCATAACAATGGGCAAAAATGAGAAAACATACAGGTGTATTTTAACAACAAAACTCTGTGTGGACCAGGCGAGGTGGCTCAGGCCTGTAACCCCCGCACTTTGGGAGGCCAAGGCTGGCGGATCACCTGAGGTCAGGAGTTCGAGACCAGTCTGGCCAACATGGTGAAACCCCATCTCTACTAAAGATACAAAAATTAGCCAGGTGTGGTGGCAGGTGCCTGCAATCTCAACTACTCAGGAGGCTGAGGCAGGGAGAATCGCTTGAACCCAGGAGGCGGAGGTTGCAGTGAGGTGAGATTGCGCCACTGCACTCATCCTGGGTGACAGAGCGAGACTCTGTCTCAACAAACAAACAAACAAAACCTCTGTGTGTGGTATAGATTTATCAAATGTGCAATAAGGATATTTGTTTTGTATATTGAGACAACTAAAAGGCAAACTTGGGTACAACTAACAGTTAACAGATCTTGGGCTGGGTGTGGTGGCCCACGCCTGTAATCCCAGCACTTTGGGAGGCCGAGGCAGGTGGATCACTTGAGGTCAGAAGTTCAAGACCAGCCTGGTTAACATAGTGAAACCCTGTCTCTACTAAATATACAAAAATTAGCTGGGCATGGTGGCGGTCACCTGTAATCCCAGCTACTCGGGAGGCTGAGGCAGGAGAATCACCTGAACCTGGGAGGAGGAGGTTGCAGTGAGCTGAGATCGCGCCATTGTACTCCAGCCTGGGCAATAGAGTGAGACTCCGTCTCAAAAAAAAAAAAAGAGATCTTAAGTGCAGCACTGAGGTCAAAGCAGACAGCATGGATGCCCAATAGGCCATCTGGATTGGAAGATTTACACTTGGATCTATTTGTAAACCATGTGCAAATCCTGCCTTATTCACATAGTGGAAAGGAAAATGCATAAGCCCTACTCTAGTGCACAAAGAAATGATTGTGTGTATACTTTTGGTTGCTCACTCCTCCACTGCAATGTATTAAGTTAAAAAGAACACGATCACTTCCAGGGAAGTACACGTGGTACGGTATTTGCATGTCAGCCATTTTGGAACAATCATTTTCAGTGCAGTTCCTTGGATGCTGTATGGAACCAGCTCCTGCCAATGATCTTTTCCCAATTTTTCCAAATTGAAGAATCTGAGAAATGGTTTTTAAAAACTATTTTTTAAATTTTTCGAGACAGGGTCTTGCTCTATCACCCAGGTCAGAGTGCAGTGGTGTGACCATGACACACTGCAGCTTCGACCTCCCAGGCTCAAGCGATCCTCCTGCCTCAGCCTCCCGAGTAGGTGAGACCACAGGTGTGCACCACCACACCTCGCTGATTTTTTATTTTTAGTAGAGATGAGGTCTCATTATGTCATCCAGTCTGATCTCAAACTCCTGGGCTCAAGCGATCCTCCCAGCTCAGTCTCCCAAAGTGCTAGGATTACAGGTATGAGACACTGTGCCCGACCAAATATGAGACATTTTTATAGCTAAGTTTTAAAGTCTTAATTCCAGAAATGAAAAGGGCTAACAAACCCTATCAATGGCACTTTTAAAAAACGAAATTGCTTACAATAATTCTATGCGAATAATACTTATTTTTAACCCAATGATTACATATGTGTTATGTGATTTAAACTCTTCCTGTCAGATTCTAAAGGAAACAGATTATAGTGGAAACAAATCTATAGAGAAAGACAAATATACTCAGAACATAACAAAAACTCAAGATCCTGTGAGATTTTGTAATATCTGGTTAATGGAAATATGCTAGAAAAAGCAGCATATAATCAGTTTCAGGACAAAATAAACCTGAGACTTCAGCTGGCACGTAAGTGAACAGAGAGCATCATCCTAGTCTATAATACAATAATTACATAAACAAAGAGAGTTCTCTAGTGTGTCACAATAAAACTTCCCCTCAACCAAACCAATTCCTTTCTGTCCTAAATGGTTTGCAGAGATTTTGTTATAATTAGGGACAACACTCTCAAAACAAAAATAACAACCTATGTATTTGTCCTTAACTTTTCCAAGTGAGCTATCAAAGGTATAAATTTTAACTGACTTTAAAAACATCATTCTTGGCCTGGGCACAGTGGCTCATGCTTGTAAACATAGTACCTTGGGAGACTGAGGTGGATGGATCACTTGCAGTCATGAGTTTGAGACCAGCACGGCCAACATGGCAAAACCCCATCTCTACTTTAAAAAAAAAAAAAAAGCAGGGCATGGTGGTGCGTGCCTGTAATCCCAGCTACCCAGGAGGCTGAGACAGGAGAATTGTTTGAACCCAGGAGACAGAGGTTGCAGTGAGCCGAGATTGCGCCACTGCACTCCAGTCTGGGTGACGGAGCGAGACTCTGTCTCAAAAAAAATAAAAAATAAAAAATAAAAAAAAATCGTTCTTGGTCTTAAAGTAATAACAGAAAGTTGATGGTAAGGAGCCCTGAGTCAGTAGGAATTGATGAAGGCCAGGCTCTTAGCTATAGCCTGAGAGCCTGGGGCATTAGGGAGATGGAAGCAACTTCCTACATTCTTCTCCTGCAATCCCTTCTTCACAAAGGAAATAGAGAGAAGCTATGTTTGCTTTAGTTACTAAGCCCACTTATTTTATTGCTGTCATAAAAACACACAGAATGGCCAGGTGCGGTGATTCATGCCTGTAATCTCAGCACTTTGGGAGGCCGAGGTGGGCGGATCACCTGAGGTCAGGAGTTTAAGACCAGCCTGGCCAACATGGTGAAACCCTGTCTCTACTAAAAAAAAAAAAAAAAAAAAAAAAATAGCCGAGTATCGTGGCAGGTGCCTGTAATCCCAGCTACTCGGGAGGCTGAGGCAAGATAATCACTTGAACCCGGGAGGTGGAGGTTGCAGTGAGCCAAGATTGTGCCATTGCACTGCAGCCTGGGCTACAAAAGCGAAACTCTGTCTCGAAAAAAAAACAAAAAAACAAAACAAAACAAAAAAACACAGTAGTCTTTTCTAGTATACAGGACACTGAAGAGATTGAGCAGAAATAAAGGGGCAGATTTTTAAAGGGTGGCTATGAAACAGATTACAGAGAAGAGTAGAAAGTTATCAACATCTTTTAGATTTTTTTTGAGGCCGGGTACGATGTCTCACGCCTGTAATCCCAGCACTCTGGGAGGTAGAGGCGGGCAGATCACGAGGTCAGGAGATTGAGACCATCCTGGCTAACACAGTGAAACCTCGTCTCTACAAAAAAAAAATACAAAAAGAATTAGCCGGGCGTGGTGGCGGGCGCCTGTAGTCCCAGCTACTCAGGAGGCTGAGGCAGGAGAATGGCGTGAACCCGGGAGGCGGAGCTTGCAGTGAACCAAGATTGCTCCACTGCGCTCCAGCCTGGGCAACAGAATAAGACTCCGCCTCAAAAAAAAAAAGATTTTTTTTTTTTTGAAAAAAAATTTAACCTCCATTTTCGCTATCCTTTTGCAATTCCTGCTTGTTTGTCTCCAGCCACTGCCTCCGAGTCTCTCCCATATGTTGCTGTAGACTGGGATGGATATTCTTGAGTGCCTTGTAGGCTGCAGAGACTATGGAGAGGCACTGGGGATAAGAAAGGTAAAATCTTATCGTTGCCCTTCCACTGGTTTATGTGATCCAACTGTCTCACCAGATGCTCAACCCCACAGCTATGTTAATAAAAAGAACTGACCATATGGTGGTAAAATGAGATGCTATTGGACCAGAGATAGGGAATGTTTTTAGGAGAGTCTGAGCTAAAGGATGTTATCTGTTTATTATTTTACTCTCATGTTGAAAAATGCCTTTTCCACTTATTGAACCAGGGATAGGCAGTGCTCTTAGCAGAGTCTAAACTAAGGGATGCTAGATGTTTGTTATTTTACTCTCATGTTGAAAATTCCCGTTTCACTTATAAATATAAACATCTTTGCCTGGATTTCCAAATCCTTCACTACCTGGGTTCCGTGGCCTTTCAGACTCTTTACTGTTACCCACGAAGTGGTTCTTTGGCTGGCCCTTGTGCCTGCTGCTCTCTCCGCTGGTCACCTGTTTGTGCATGTACCTGTTCAGACCCTATCCACTCTTCAAAGATGAACTTCCTATCTATGTCCTTGCTAAAGCTTTCTAACTATCCCTAAACTCCTCCGGTTCCCTCTTTGAATTCTTCTTGCTGGTAGAACCTGCATTAGCACTTTTATATGCCTTCTTACGTGATTTTGTAAGTCATCTGGCCTGATGAAGTGATAACGGACAGCTGTTAAACATTAATATTATAGCAGTCTCCAAATAAGTAGTTGATTATTTGCAAGAGCTGAGCTCCTTGGCTGCAAATCTCATTAAGGGAATAAACTTCTAGAAATCAGGGTAATGAGATTCCAAGGTCTTGGGAAAATTAACTTTTAATTTGGGGGAGGAGAGACATGGTGGAGAGAGGGATGGGGGTCACTGGTCACACCCTAAATGTTAACAGATTGACTAATAGAATCAGAATATTTTCAAGTAGGCAGGTGCTAAGAAGGAATTCAAGCTAGGCTAGGTGTTAGGGAAGCTCTTGCACAATTTAAATGAAATCAGTTCTTCCAGGTAAACTTACAAGTGAGTTTGCTGAAACATAGTGAATAATTTTTATAAAACTGTGGAGGTGGGTGAGTTCCTAGAATGTTAAAGATAAGCTCGAATTCTTGAGAATTAAGATGGCAAGGACAAGAGGAAGAGGATTCTGTAGTTAGTTTTGAAACTGTCATATTTAATGTTGAATGCTGAAAAATATTCTAGTACTACGTACTAAAAAGAGATAGCTTATGAACACATATACATTTAAGTACTGGTCACTAGCTTCCTAAGAGAATTGAGAAAGAATAAGTATAGCCAAATACTTTCATTTTCTTAAAATATTTTTCCATAATAAAACCAGTATGTGTTCACTAAAGAAAATGAAGAAAACATAGAAAAAAGAGAAGAAATAAATATTACTTGAAATATGATCATTTACATTCTATTATGTCCTTCTACCTTTTTATACACAGATACATGTTTAAAATTTTTTTTACAAAACTGAAATTATACTGTGCATGGTACTATGTCATATTCTGAATAACGTGTGTATTAAAGAGATTACATTTTGTTCAATTACCCATGTTATGGATGTTTCTTCAAAAATAATGTTGTTTTACCAACTAAATGCATTAGTTGGTAAGGAAATCAATTTAGAGAGATGCAACCAACATTTAGAAAAAAATTAAGTACAGAATACATTTTAAAAATCAGATTGCATTGCACATAAGGGAATGTATTGTTATTTCAGTTCTATGTACATATAAACACACACAAATACAGTTTATACAGTAACCATATATATGTACACACACACATATACAAATACGCACAAACACATGTATGTGTCGATCAAATGTGGCTACTCTGGGCACACTGCCTATGGATTAGCCCTGCTCTGCAAGGAACAATAGAAAAATTAATATTTTTTAAAAAATGTGTCAAATATGGGTATCATTAAAAGAAACAAAAGCCAATGCTTTAAAATATAATTTTTAACATTCGTATAACATTCCAACAGTAGATATGTCTTGATACAGTTAAGAAATTCACAATTGTTGTACTTTCAGATTGTGTTCTATATTTGACAATTATATAATGCAACAAATATTTTTTATATGTGGGAACACCTGGGTTTTTTTTAGGATTAAACTACTAGAACTTGAATTACTGATTCAAAGTGAGAGATTTTTGACCTTCTGGCACATTCTGTCAAATTCTATTCGACAAAAGTGATAGCAATTCAGACTTTTATGAGCACTGTATGAGATCACCTATTTTCTTAACCCCTTTCTGATACTAGATGTTATCATATTAACAAAACACATCTATTTGGAGGAAAAAGTGATTGTGCTGCTTTCTGAATTTTACTTGGGTATTAATAACAATAGGTTTTCTTTTTTGTTTTCTCACATATCAATGTACTGTTTGTATTTCTTTTGTTAAAATTGCCTAAGTCCCTCCCTCATTCTTCTAATGGTGTGTTGCTCTTACGACATTATATGTTTGCAAGGAGCTCCCTGTAGACCCTGTATTACATTTTGGTCTGTCATAGAGATGCTCCTTTATTCATTTTAAAAAGGAGTTTACCAGATTTGAGCACAGGAACTTGCTTTAAACAAAAGACCTTCGGCTACGTAAGGCACGCAGCAGGATTTGCAGTATCTCTGTGATTGAAAAAGAGAAAGATGTGCTTCATAACTAAACAAACAATGACCTTCAAAGTGTGCTATTAGGGCAGTGGAATTCTGTCTTCCTCCCTGTTCCTTATGGTATTTTAATCAGTAATTTGAAAGATTAAACTGATGAAATTCTGATAAAATGTATGTATGATCTACATATGATAACCTTGGTTTAAAGACTGAGTAACAAAGAAATACTTCAAAAAATTATGTAAAGCTTTAAAAATGAGCTATAACTCACAAGATAAATTTAGTGGAAAGAAGGGTAAAGAGCCAACATACACTAAAGTGAATAAGTAAACAATGAACGAAGAAACCTAGCAGCAAAACACAAAATTAGGGACATGTAATCTCAGCACATGAGAAAAAAAATCCAATTTTTAAAGTATTTTATTTTAAGCCCCAAATGACATTACATGTTGCTCTGGTTGGGGGAAGTTGATGCAATTTTCAGGTTAGATTTTAAAAGTTATAATATATGCTGGCTGGGCCATATCTCAAATATTGTGTTTGGTTACGATTACGAGGCCTATTGATGAACTGGAACACATGTACAAAGTGAGCAAACAGCAGGATGAAAGAACAGGAAATTATTAAATGGGACAACATTAGAAGCTCACTTTCCCATTTTAAGTGTCACTCAGATTTAATTTGCTAGCAACATTTAAGACATCTTTATCAAGTGTTTTTGTGTTCAGCTTAATTTTCACAGAAGTATCTTTTTCTTTTTATACTCAAATTTCGACAGGTTTATTTTAATAAAGTACTTAAATGCAGTATGCCATATATTTAATTATAAACAGCTATGGGAACAAATGGAACAAAACAAACAAAAATGGACTCTTATACTATACAGTTCAATGGGTGGTTGCAGAAATGTGAGGACCTAATTGGACAGCAGCATCTCAGCTGTGACATTTGTGGCTCTTGACATTCACTGTGGAGAAAGTGAAGAGCATTGGTACATCTAGGGCAGTGGTTTTCAAAGTGTGGTCTTAAAATCAGCAGCATCAGCATCACTGAGAATTGGTTAAACATGAAAACACTTGAATTGGATCCATCAGAAAATGACTTACGTAGACTTTCTGAAAGATGGAGTCCAGCAATCTGTGTTATCATGAGCACTCCAGGTGATTCTGATGCGTCTCAAGTGAGAACTGCGGATGTTTAGTAAGGAGAGATCAGCTGGGAATACTTCTATTTGTGTGATGATTTTTAAACTGTATGGTTTTGGGATGCTTGTAACCAATGCGGAGCAGAGACAAAGACAGAATAATTCTAATGTAATCAGAGATGAGGTTACAAATCTGCATTTGCCAAGCCCCTGGTGATTTTTGAGGTATGGATAGTTGGACTACACTTAGAAAAATAATGAAGTAGGCAGGGTGTGGTGGTTCACGCCTGTAATCCCAGCACTTTGGGAGGCCAAGGTGGGTGGATCACTTGAGGTCAGGCATTTGAGACCAGCCTTGCCAACATGGTGAAACCTCCTCTCTACTAAAAATACAAAAATTAGCCAAGTGTGGTGGCGCATTGTTGTGGGAAATCAGGGACCCTGAATGGAGGGACCGGCTGAAGCCATGGCAGAAGAACATAAATTGTGAAGATTTCATGGACATTTATTAGTTCCCCAAATTAATACTTTTATAATTTCTTATGCCTGTCTTTACTGCAATCTCTGAACATAAATTGTGAAGATTTCATGGACACTTACCACTTCCCCAATCAATACCCTTGTGATTTCCTATGCCTGTCTTTACTTTAATCTCTTAATCCCGTCATCTTCATAAGCTGAGGAGGATGTATGTCGCCTCAGGACCATGTGATGATTGCGTTAACTGTACAAATTGTTGTAGAGCATGTGTGTTTGAACAATATGAAATCTGGGCACCTTGAGAAAAGAACAGGATAACAGCAATGTTCAGGGAACAAGAGAGATCACCTTAAACTCTGACTGCTGGTGAGCCAGGCAGAACAGAGCCATATTTCTCTTCTTTCAAAAGCAAATGGGAGAAATATCGCTGAATTCTTTTTCTCAGCAAGGAACATCCCTGAGAAACAGAATGTGTCCCTGAGGGGAGGCCTCTGAAATGGCCGCTTTGGGGATGGCTATCTTTTACGGTCGTAGCTGTGGGATGAAATAAGCCCTGGTCTCCTGTAGCGCTCCCAGGCTTATTAGGATGAGGAAATTACTGCCTAATAAATTTTGGTCAGACCAGTTGTCTGCTCTCAAACCCTGTTTCCTGATAAGATGTTATCAGTGACAATGCCTGCCCAAAACTTCATTAGCAATTTTAATTTCACCCCGGTCCTGTGGTCCTGTGATCTCGCCCTGCCTCCATTTACCTTGTGATATCTTATTACCTTGTGAAGCATGTGATCTCTGTGACCCACACCCTATTCATACACTCCCTCCCCTTTTGAAAATCACTAATAAAAACTTGCTGGTTTTGCGGCTTGTGGGGCATCACGGAACCTGCCGACATGTGATATCTCCCCCAGTCACCCAGCTTTAAAATTTCTCTCTTTTGTACTCTGTCCCTTTATTTCTCAGACCAGCTGACACTTAGGGAAAATAGAAAAGAACCTATGTGAAATATCGGGGGTGAATTTCGCCCAATAGCGCATGCCTGTAATCCAAGCTATTTGGGAGGCTGAAGCAGGAGAATCACTTCAGCTGGGGAGGTGGAAGTTGCAGGGAGCCGAAATCACGCCACTGCACTCCATCCTGGGTAACAGACTGAGACTCTGTCTCAAAAAACAAAAACAAAACAAAACAAAACAAAAACAAAAAGGAAAGAAATAAAAAAATAAAATGAAGTAGAGTTTTCTTTTTTTAATTTATAAATTTGTTTTTTATAGAGACCAGATCTATTTTGTTGCCCAGGCTGATCTTGAACTCCTGGCCTTAAGTGATCCCCACAACCCCTTGCCTCAGCCTCCCAAAGTGCTGGGATTACAGGCACAAGCCACTGTGCCCAGCCAATGTAGAGATTTTAACTAAGGGAAAGAAAAAGAAAACTTGAGGGAGGTGATGTAAATCACACCTTCAAGCAATTCACTAGTTGTCATCTAGAGGAAGTGCTTGTATTACTCTGCAGTGGCTTCAGGAAATAGAACTAGGATTAATAGCTGGAAGTTACAGAAAAGTGGATTAGGGAAGGGATTTCTAAGAGATGGAATGGTCTGCTGTCTACGGGTACCACATCTCAGATACTCAGGAGCTGCCAAATGCTGAATACCCATTTGTCACTGAGCCTACAGAAAAGATTCTTGCAATGGGCTGGGGATTGGACCCAGGGAAATAGGGACCTCTAAGTTCCTTTCAATTCTGAAACTGCAAAAATTTTATCATTCCCCAGATCTCCTGAAAGTACCTTGAAGATTTACATTTTATAATCAGAAAAGAGAAAGCTCTCCCAATAATCTTTTCTATCTCATGTTAGGAATATATTCTTGTTAGATATTAATATGCCTATTTCAGGTGAACAGTGTTGATAATAGGGACTTGTTTTTCTCCTTTGTAGTAACTGAGCCCATGTCTATTGGGTAATTTGGCTGATGAAATAGATGAAAAACTTCTTTAATACCAAAATAAAATCTGCATGACTCAAAGAGGCAAAAAACTGATGATGAACTTTTTTTCCCCCAGGAATAATAGAGCATTCTAGAGAATGTGCTTTAAATTTCCAACAACTGCCACAGCCTATTTTAGTAATGGCTTCTGCTGGTTGAAATTACAGGAATAAGTGGTGTATTTAGGATTGTCCAATGTGTGTTCCTATTATTATTAGGTACTGGCCATTGACAAAAACAATGACAACAGCCATCAAAATATGGTGCACAATGAAGAGGGCAGGAGATTTTGCCCAATCTGGGCTTGTGTACAGTATCAGCCAAAAACATACGAAAAATTTACCAAGGTGTCTGTAGATATACACATAATATATCCATGCTTATAGATGGATGCAATTTAGATAAAGATGTCTAATGTATTGCTATTTTAAATTGTCTATTTTAGTGTCATTGCTTTCTGGGTACTAGCAAAAATTATGGAAAAGAAAAAATTACAACCACAGCTTGTCATCAGTATAAAAATGGCTTTCTTTTCTGAAAGAGGTTTCATAAAAGAATGCTAATGAGTATATATGAAGCTACATGTGTCTTTAGACTAAGCAAGAGAAAAGGATTTTGAAAGAGATGACTTGTTGATGACCCAGGGCTGTCTAGTAAGTGGCCTCACAACTAGAAATAATTAACATATGACTCCACTTTTGGTGGAAATTAAATTTGGACACCATAATAAACCCAAACTTTACATCAACAACTTCCATTCATCTTTTTCCTAGATACTTAAAACAAATTTATAAAAATAATGTGCAAATATTACCCTTTAGACCGTTGATGGAATTCTGCTTAACTCTTTTTCATTCTATTTGATGCTGTTTAATTCAATGACATAAATTGAGATTGAGAGTTGACCATCTGCAAGGTACTGTGCCAAATGTTGAAATGCTAAGATTACATTACATAGAAGATATAAGTCCTATATCTCCTTGCTTTACTGAGCTACAATTTTGTACCATAATATGAGATTCAGATCATTTTGAATAATAATTCAAGTTCAAATATCACCAAATAAAATAAAAGTGATAATGCAACATAATGAGCTAATGGTCATATATAACATGATTTTAAAGTGAGACAGTGTGACATTTATTTTTCTGCTGTCAAGTCTTCCAGTAAACTTGGTTCAAAAATGTTCTAAAAAGTTTATTGGTGCTACAAGTCTTCTTCTTCCTTCATTTCTTCTATTTTGCCACCCAAGTTTTTGTTATCATCTAATGTGCAGATGACTACAGTAGCTGCTGATGCTGCAAACACATCCTCCTATCTCTAGATTCTCCTAGCTTGCCCTCATCTGCTGTGTAGATGATGATGGCCCACGTGTAGATCCAGAGCACAGGATATGTTCTTGATTACCTTCTTCTGTACTCTGCTTCTCTCACTGGAAACCTCCACAGTAGTCCCTGCCCGAATTTGCCTTCTTCAGACCCTCTTTCTTGTGCCACCTTTGCTCTGTCTCTCTCTCTCCTGCAGGGCCCCACTGTTTAGCAGGCAGGTCTCTTGCTAGGCCTTAACTCTTCCTCTCCCTGCCTACTCTGCACTGTTTTAAGAGAAGCTATCATGATTTATATTAAGGAAGTTCGTGGAAAGCCAAATCTGTTCACTGAACAGTTAACTTGCATGAGCAGAATGAACCAACTCAGGTGCAACTGTTAGTAGTATCTCCAAAGTAGTAATTTGTGTTCATATCTGTCCTTTTGCAAAGTATAAGCTTCCTATGAGCAGAGGCTTTGTCTTATCTATCCATTCTCAGAACAAATTGCCTGGCCCACAGTAGGTTCCCAATAACTGTTTTGTTGTTGTTGTTGGATATAAGAATCTAGTAGTGCTTGAATACATGGGTGCTCTTGGTTTGTAAACTTATCATACAGAGCCCCCAGGATGGTCTCTGGCTGAAGCCTCATAGCTACTGGCATAAACCCAAGACTTCATATTCATTGGAACACAATACTTTGGGAAATGCTGTAGAAACTTCTGCCCCTGGCATATGTAGCAGCAGGGGTGACATTTCCCACTGTGGGGAGTGTCTACTCAGCAGCCCCACAGCATTCCTTAGGAACCCCCAGGGCTGTATCGGACACTCTGACAAAAACCCATGATACAATTCAGAGCTCACAGAACTTGAGCAGCAACTTAAGAACTAACGATGCTGCCAGGGGAAAATGAAGATATATTGTCTGAACTCAATTAGGCTACAAGGTCTGATACATTGCACACCAATCGATTTACATCATGCTGCAGGGAAACTAAAATTGTTTTCTCAGGCAAGTTATCATCACCGCCAGTTTCAATAAAATAAGATGGATAGCCATATCTGCCAACTACAAAATGACAAATGAGATGGTTTCAGGTCCACAGCAGAAGAAAGACGAGAAAATAGTTCATCTTTGAGCAGACACATTTCATATGCTTGCTGGTAATATCTATGGTGGGGAAACTCAATGGTCAGTTTATAAATTATTTTCACTGAAGGTGTAGTAGGAATATATATATATATATATATATATATTTTTTTTTTTTTTTTGAGACAGAGTCTTGCACTGTCGCCCAGGCTGGAGGGCAGTGGCATGATCTTGGCTCACTGCAAGCTCCACCTTCCCGGTTCACGCCATTCTCCTGCCTCAGCCTCCCGAGTAGCTGGGACTACAGGTGTCCGCCACCATGGCCAGTTAATTTTTTTTTGTATTGTTAGTAGAGACGGGGTTTCACCGTGTTAGCCAGGATGGTCTCGATCTCCTGACCTTGTGATCAGTCCGCCTCAGCCTCCCAAAGTGCTGGGATTACAGGCGTGAGCCACCGTGCCCAGCCATAGTAGGAATTTTTAAGCGTAGTTTACCTATATTAGTGTATCTATAATCCCAAGCAACAGAATCCATAGCACTCAACCCTAAAATAATATGCACAAAGGCTTTCTTTAAGGTAAATTCACAGGGCAGAGATGTAAAATCAAAACCTTCCTTCTCGTAGGTTCCAAGTCTGCTTGTGTCCTATGATGAGTGTTTTGTGAAGCAGATAATCTGCCTCATTATGATGGGTGTTTGTGTCAGTTGAGGATCTGACTCACTCTGTGGAGCTCTTACCATGCCTACAACTTCATTAATATATATATAATCTAGAAAAAGAACTTTCTGAATACTCTAAGGCTTGTCTCTACTTTATTGTGGTAGAGATTGATATCAAGGGAAGTGAAAGTAAGGACAGCCAAGCTGTCTTTTTTAACCACAAAGAGTATCACATAACCTGACACTTAGTCAAAACTTACTACCTGTTGATGAATGAATGATTTAGAAACTAGAATAATGGTATATAAAAACAATGATATCAATGTAGCAGATGCGTGGATCCCAGGCCACCAGGTCAATTTTCTCTGTTGGGATTATTTATGGGGAACAAATCCAATGGCAAGTTTATATGTTTTCTTTTTATTTGTCCTAGGACCCTTTCCAAAATAGCCTATTTACACTAATGTGCATGTAGGTCCAATCAGTAAAGTCCAGAGTGTTCAGCCAGGAGGGACATGACTCAATCCCGAACAGAACCAAGGTCCATCCCAAACGTGCCAGGAATGGGCAGCTGAGGGACTGCCCAAGTAGATTTGACACTGTACTGCACTGCTCCTACCCTGGCTCCATAGCTGGGCTGGGGCTGTGATTCCCAGACGTGGCACCTGTATTATTCACAGGTTTACACTGTATGCAGAGGGGAGTTCCCAGATTATAGTTTTATACGTTTTATAGGTTATTAGAATATGGAGGGAAATCTCACACTAGATTTTACATTTAATAAAATCCAGGTAAGGCTGGGCGTGGTGGCTCATGCTTGTAATCCCAGCACTTTGGGAGGCCGAGGCAGGCGGATCACCTGAGGTCGGGAGTTCGAGACCAGCCTGACCACCATGGAGAAACCCCGTCTCTACTAAAAATACAAAAAAATTAGCTGGGCCTGGTGGCACATGCCTGTAATCCCAGTTATTTGGAGGCTGAGGCAGGAGAATCGCTTGAACCTGGGAGGCGGAGGTTGCAGTGAGCCGAGATCACACCATTGCCCTCCAGCCTGGACAACAAGAGCAAAACTCTGTCTCAAACAAACAAATAAACAAAAAAACCCACCACCACCAACAAAAATCAAACCAAGTTAAAAATCATTTGACCAGGGACTAAAAAGTATCCTTCAAGTTTTCAACAGTGTCTTAAAAAAAACAATATGTTTCCCGGAAAGTAGCTACAGTTCTTCACTGACTGAAGACTAATTGGTGGTGGAGGTCTGTCATTAATGTGTAACACACTGGTTTTGGAAATCAGGAATACAACATCTGATTCCCACCTTCCAGAATAAGTTATTTTTCCCTCTAGTGTATGCTCTTGCATGAAGGAAAAAATAAAGATACAAAAGAGATAAAAAGAGATAAATGGATACCTCTTCCCTTGTAAATTTACATTCCATTTAACCAAGCAGTTCAATTTTTTATGAAAAGAAAATCAATATATAACTTTGATTTTATTGTACTTTGACCTATAAAAGCAATGAATAATAAATAAGCAACAACCCAAACGTCCATTAATAGATGATCAGAAAAATTACAGGGCATATCCATTCAAAAGAATTTTGCATGGTTAATAAATAGAATCATGTAGAAAAATAGTCAATTATTTGGAAGACATTTACAATGCATTTTAAGTGAATAAAGAATGTTTCAAAAGAATATTTAAATATAATTCAAATTCTTAAGTATTTATATTTATTTGTGCAAAATGCTAATTGGAGCTGTGTCTGGGTAGAGAGGGTCATCTAGAGGTGAAGAAACTGAGGTTCAGCAGTTTAAATGATTTTTTCTTTTATTGTTATTATAATTATTATTATTTTTGCAGAGACGGGGTCTTGCCATGTTGCCCAGGTGGTTCTTGAACTCTTGGCCTAGAGCCACGTTCCCGCCTCAGCCCCACAAAGTGCTGAGATTACAGGCATGAGCCACTGCACCCGGCCTTAAATGATTTTTTAAAATTCACATGGCTAGAATATATAGGACTAGGTTTCAAACCTAAATAGAAACACATCAAATTCCTTGGCCCAGGCTCTTTTTACCATGTTACCACTTATATATAATCTGCATAAGGCTGTATTAACCAGTAATTCCACAGTGGGCTTAGATAAATCATTTAATTTTATTTAATCAAAATAACATTCTAAAGGAACTAAGTGTTGTATCTTCTTTGTTTTCTATTTCAAATAAGAGGATTTACATTTACATTTGCTCCTATCAACATTTAAACAATTGAGTTACAGAGTTAAAAACAGATTTCGGCTGGGCACAGTGGCTCACACCTGTAATCCCAGTAGTTTGGGAAGCTGAGGTGGGCAGATCACTTGAGGTCAGGAGTCCAAGACCAGCCTGCCCAACATGGTGAAACCCCATCTCTACTAAAATACAAAAAATTAGCCGGGAGTGTTGGCGGGTGCCTGTAGTCCCAGCTACTTAGGAGGTTGAGGCAGGAGAATTGTTTGAACCATGGAGGTAGAGGTTGCAGTGAGCCGAGATCGTGCCACTGCACTGCAGCTTGGGTGACAGAGTGAAATTGTGTCTCAACAACAACAACAATAACAACAAACAGATTTGATCCTAAAGATCAACTGATTTCAGGGCCAACCCACTCCTGTTAAATTTCTCTCACGGAGTCTCCACAACTTCTGGTCATTCCTTGCAGTCCCCAGAGCACAGTTAGGAGCTCAATCCACCAGCACAAATACACCAGGACAGAGAGAACGGGATAGCCAAGGAGGCATCATCTTTTTTCTATTGATTCTTTTAAAGTCTCTACAGATAATTGTCTTCATTAAGATAGAGTGAAAATATTTTCAAAAAGAGATAAGATTAGGTGACTCCCTGGGTGTTCAACATCAATACTTTCTAATATTCATTTTTACTTTTCTACTTTTGTAGCCCAGAGCCAGGCTGATTTAATTTCCACTTCACACAAAGACAAAACCAGTGTGTTACACATTAATGACAGACCTCCACAACCAATTAGTCTTCAGTCAGTGAAGAACTGTAGCTACTTTCCGGGAAACTGATATTGTTCACACAAAGACAAGACAGAAGGTGAGTCACACAGCTGGCACTTGATTATGAATCTTGATTGAAGGTGTGGCTGATCAGTCATCCTACCCTGTTTTTCCTTTGTTTTCTATCTGTCCCTCCTTAATGTTTGCATAGCAGACAGATGCTATGGTTTTTCTTATCTTATCATGTTATCTTTTCTTATTTTTTCAGACAGAGTTTCTCTTTTGTCACCCAGGTTGGAGTGCAATGGCATGATCTCTGCTCACTGCAACATCTGCCTCCTGAGTTCAAGCAATTTTCCTGCCTCAGTATCCCAAGTAGCTGGGATTACAGGTGTGCACCACCACGCCCGGCTAATTTTTGTATTTTTAGTAGAGACAGGCTTTCACCATGTTGGCCAGGCTGGTCTTGAACTCCTGACCTCAGGTGATCCACCCGCCTCGGCCTCTCAAAGTGCTGGGATTACAGGCATGAGCCACCATGCCCAGCAGATGCTATGATATTTTAATGGCTGAAAAAGTGGTGTCAGATTTGATGATGGTGATGAAGAAAATAATTTTCATAATTCTTAAAGCATATGAACCTTTTTGAAAGAGAATAAAGTCAACTTAATAACATTTAAAGGTATGAGAGGACATAGTAACCCTTGGAAGACCAACCTTAAGAGACTTCTCTGATAGCAAGAAAAATAAAGAAATAAAAGAGTAAACAAGACATGAAAAGGAGCTTTCTTGAGACAACAAACCCCAATGCGGGCATTACACAAATGTGAGTTATTTTTCTCCTACCCATTTTGGGATTAATGAAAAGAATAAGAATAATCTATGAAGAGTAATGAATTTAAAGTAAAAGAAAAAGCTTGCTTCGAGTTCCAGCTCTAATGCTCAACAGCTGGAAGATATTGGTGAAGGTGCCCTCACCTCACTATTTCCCCATTTTTTTGTCTGTGAAAAAAGGTGATACCTGCCTGACTACCTCCCAGGATTGTTGTGCATGCAAACAATGACCAAAACAACAACAAAACACACAAAAAGGAGTCTATATTTTTTGGAAAATTGAAAGTGCAATGCAATCCTCAGCTGTTTATTATAATTTTTCTCTAAAGTGCTAGTAAGTATTTATGAATCTGGGTAACTAACAAAAACTCCCCTGCAAAAGCTGGCTAGCAAAATATTTTTGTCTCTGGGGTGAAACAAAAACAACAATGCCATTTTTCTAACCTTGGTTATAAAAACCCTAGGCTGGAACATGTAAATCAACTTACAAAAATAGGCACGCATTGGAAATGGACTCAGACTGGGGAGGTGGGTATCATCAGGTGGCAAGGTTTATTTATTTTTTGTCAGTTGGGAGAATGTCAAAGAGCAGGGTGGATCCGTGGAAATAGCACTGGGGAACAAAATACATTTGGAGTCAGTCCCAGCTCCTTCCCTAACTATGTGACTCTGGGCAAATTATGCACCTCCTTTGACCCTTTAAATTTCTTACCTACAAAATGGGTAAAATAATGGCTATAATAATATCTACCTTACAGGGCCAGCATATGGATTAAATTAGATAATATTATAAAGCGCCCAGTGCAGAGCCTGGTACATGGCAGATATTCAATGAATGTGAGTTTTTCCCCATTATTTTCCTAGACTACATATTTGTTTACTATTTTCCCCTATTCCATTTCTTTCTTGGATACTGTTGACCTTGTAGCCTCCCTGTATGTACCAGAGCAACCTGTGTAGAGGATTCCTTTAAAATATTTACATAAATTCCATCTTTACTCCAGTAAGTCTATCTGATTATAATAAAATCACTCATTCTTTATCTTCCATTAAATTATTTTATTGATCCTATAAAGGTGTCTCATAAAATTTAGTATGTAAAGATCTAAGATGCTTGATACAGCTGCCGACCATGAAGTTATAAAATACGGAACACTAAACCAAGGGGAAATTCAGAGAACCTTTTAATTTCCTTACTCCATTTCTTCAGAATAACACCCAAATAAAGGTATTAAATAAAAAAGATTGCATTTTATTTTCCTGGATGGAAAAGGATTAACACTAAGCAACAGTGTCTGAAAGTTATTATTATGGTTTGTGTGTGTGTGTGTGTGTGTGTGTGTCTATGTTTGTGTGTGTGTGTGTGTGTGTGTGTGGATGGTATTCAACTTCTTTTCCTTCAGTAATTCCAGTTGTTTTTTTTTTTTCCACTTCTCTTTAAGAAGGTGGTTGCTCTTCTTGGTCTAGTGAAATCCTGCAAATTCAGTTAAATGTAACTTCTGGGATTTCTCAGATTACATATGGGCCCTCCCTCCTCACCCTAACACCCAGTAGAAATTGTTTATCTTTCCCTTGTACATCCTAACATTTTGTCTATACCATTGGGTACCTTTGAGATCAAGCTCTACCATGGATATCCAACCTTTTGGCTTCCCTAGGCCACATTGCAAGAAGAATTATCTTGGGCCACACATAAAATACACTAACACTAATGACGAATAATCTTAAAAAAAAGGTCTGTGCATAATTTTTATAACATCTACCACCACAGATAAGCAAAAATGTCCTTGCATTCAAAGGGTTGGACATGGCTGCAAGTCTATACTTTCTACATGGTCCCAAGACATAGCACATGGTTTAGAATAGAGGTGGCAATTGTGTGAATTTTGATTGAAGGTGTGGATGATCAGTCCTCCCTTCCCCTTGTTTCCTGTTGGCCCTTTCTTAAAGTTTGCAGTGTGTGACCATATGGTACTATTTTAAGAGTTTGAGAAGTGGGTTAGATATGATGTTGGAAGAAGGACAACCATTTGACTTCCCCTTTCCATCTTCCCCAGGTTACATCACTATTTTAAATTATATCACAGAAATTTCCATTGTAATTTCAAGAACAGTATATTCTGTCAGCATTACGTTTGAAAAGGATTAACTTGAAATGCTTCTTAAACAATACACAGAGTACCTCACATTATCTGATAGTCACTTTCTCCAGCAAAATCTTGGAGAATTGTTTGACATTGTCTTTATTGCCCCATGGTGACTTATGAGGCATGCTTCAGAAAATTCTGTATTAAAGAACAGAGGTTCCAATAGTGCCAGCCAAAATTTCATAAAATTTATTTACAATGTGATTAATTCCTGGAGTCCATCATTCTCCATCCCTTTAATTCATGCAATCACATTGAATGTTCACAGTATATATTACTGTTCAAATTCTTTCAAATACTCTGTGTACCGTTGCAATGGTAATTCACAAGTAGAAATGAGTAACATTCCCCACCACAAGGATCCTTGAAGGAAACTGAAAACAAAAGCCATTATCTTTGTTGAATCCAGTTTGCTCACATTTCAACACACATAACTCCACTGAACTGGCCATCACAGCAAAAGCCACAACACACACACACACAGCAGCATGGAGCTAAACCACACAACTCAACAGACAATGCAGACAAACTTGAGTATAAACCAAGATTTTTCTACCTCTTTTCATAACAGGTTAGTGCTGGCCCTCAGTGTTGGTGTACAGTTTTTATGGCATGGGAAAATAGGGATGTTTCTGCCCTATAAAAATAAATGTGTTGAAGGCTTTAGTTTGAGCTTACACAATGTCAGAAAGTTCCAAAGGCACTGGCACAATACAAAAAAAAGAATCTTACAAACAAATATATATCATCAAAACACATGGCAAGATACTAAGAAAACACTGGTAGGAAAACTACTGGTTTCTCAGGTGATTTATGCAACAGTTTTCAACACCTTCCTGAAAAATAAGGAATAAGAAAGGCAGGCTAGTGGGTCTCTGGTGGGGCATATCTTGTCACCAACCACCACTCATATAAAATCTTTAATTTTAAACTGCTCAGTAGATCATTTTCTCTCTGCAGAAGTAAAACGCATAGAACCCTCATTGTTCTTAACATTTTAAGCCTCAGGAAGGGCTAAGGGAAAGAGCATAGAAATACATGCACTATCTTTAATAAAGAAAGGAATACAAGGAATAAAAATAAAATATAAAGAATAATTATTATTCCTTCCTTTTATATGTTGTAATATAAACTTCTTTCCAAACTTTAATTCTGTACAGATAACTTGTTCATATATAACATCTTTTTCTACTTTGGAAAGGGATGGGACAGAAAGATAAGCAGAAAACATGAAGTTCTGAATTTGAATAAAAGAAACACTTTTGCTGTTATATCAAGAATGCAAGGTGGGTAACAGGGCTAGAAATAGGGAAATTGGAAAAATTTCATTGGACTTAATGATTCATAATTCCTCAAAAAATTAAACTTACCACATTCTGTGCAAATTTTTCAAAAGATGTTCTGCGATCCATTGAGTTTCCAGACTTACGTATGTGGGGTAGGATAGGATGAAGGGAAATAAGGGAAGATTAAAAAAAAGAAAGAAAGCAAGGAAAACAGAGCAGAAAAAGACAGGATAATGAAATGATGCAACACCAAATCCATGTTCTAAATCAGAAGGCCCATAGAGGTTGGAGAGCCGCCAAGGGAGGCTTCTTCTCACAGGACATGGGCTCTGCTTACACCAAAAACTTTCCTTGTACAAACAAAATGGTGTGATTCAAGCAAAATCAAATTCAGCCAAAATAAAGTGGATATGTGAAGCCTTTATACTGACATTTGCAGAGCCTAAATATTTAAAAATCTAGCAGCATATCCTCAGAATTTCCTCAAAACTTTTATGAGAAAAAATTCCTATTGACAACATCATTAATTCCATAGAGCATTAATGTCTAATAGAACTTTCCAAAAGGATGGAAATCTCATTCTATGCTGTCCAATACAGAAGCCCCTAGCTGTGGTTACTGAGCACTTGAAATTTGGCTAGAATGTTATATAATTTTAATTAACTAATATTTAAACAGTCCCACGTGGCTAGTGACTGCTGTACTGGATAGTGTTACTACAAAGTATCCATTTCTAGTTGTAAAGGCAATGGACTTTTAAAAATCTTATTAGCCTACATGACGATCATGAACTACACAAAATTATAATTTAAACTCAGAGTTTCAAGAAGCTATGAACTATTTTAACATTAAAAAGAATGAATGACGTTGATGTTTATGTCCAGATTTTCTCTTCCCTGTTATATTGATTACATAAGGAGTTATGAACAGAGAGACATTGATTATTAACATTGTTGAATAATGAGGTCTACTACAATACCCCCATAATGTGCTTGGCTACCATGCTAGGTGTATAAAATTCATCACAGGGATATTAAGTGATTCAGGATAAATGCCAAATAAAAATATTCGGAAGCAAACATTCCGACATTTTGTCATCTATTATTGAAAAAGGTGAGTCTACTTTCAGTTATGAGGCCTGTGGTTCAAAACATACATTCTAGCTTACTAAACAAAGAAACCTCTCTTCAAGTTTTTGACCTAATGACTTTGTTACTTTCTTTTCTTTATTGTAATTTTGATTCCATGAAACTAGGCATACAGAAGACTAACATGAAACATGAAAACAGCTTCTAATAAATTTTGCAAAGCATGAACATCTGCAGAAACAAACAAACAGAAAGTAATACAATAAGCAATAAACAAACAGAAACAACTTAAATGGCCCTTATAAAATGCAAAGGTTTGGGGGAGGGTCTTGGAGTATGTTCACTTACCATTAGTCCAATACCCTGGATTCAGCAGAGGTAATTACTCCAAATAATTATAACTGAGAACTAGGCCAAGAAAAAACAACTCACAAAAAACCAGTACCTTTTTCTTTGCCTGTAGAAGCTCCTGATAGGCACTGGATCTTATAAAACGTGGGTATGAATCACTTTTCATCAGTTTGTAAATGTGCTCCTAAAAAGAAATAATGGTTGAGGTGCTTCTTTATGATTTCTTGGGAAAAGTAAAATATCATGATGTCACACATGGCTAAAGAACAAATCTAGTAGCAGCGAAAAATAGTAATAACAATGCTGATTAGAATACCTTCTATTTACAGGATATTTAGATCTTCAAATTCATTATCTCATTCATAGATCATTGTTTAAATTGGTTTAGGAGCTACTGAGGAGGCAAATCACATCCAGTCATTACAAAAATGGAATTTGATTAATAAAATGTCATAAAATTACCTCAAATCAAGTTGTTGACTTATATAGATCACTAGAGAATATAACTAAATTTGCTGTCTCTTAAAACTACTCCAGGCCTGAAGTGGGTAATGTTGACTCAGACTGAGTAATCATCCTGGATACCTTTGGCCTCTACATTTACTGGGAGGGTGCCAACTACCCAGAAGAATCAAATCATCTCTTTGGTACAAATTGCATGGAAAATTGTCTTCCATACCCACTTTGGGTCAGAGCACAAGTCCAAAAATAAATTTTGTGATATTTAATTGCTAAATCTCCAAATTTGTGTGCTCTTTCTTATTACTTACCCAGTGACAGATTAGGTAAATAGTTGATCATTTGCCCCTAAGAAGTTTGCAATATTCTGTTTTGATGATGAATTTTGATAGACAAGTCAAAAAAAAAAAAGGAAAAAGGTACTCATTCAATTCAATCTAGACCCAATCTAGGGAGGTTCCACTCTGGTCTACCGCAGCTCAGGGAGCTAACATGTGCCTTGATCTTCCAACTCTAGTGAAATATCAGTTAGGTGTAGAGCTTGGAACTATTGGAGAGCATTCTGAATGTTCCAGTTTTCTTTTCTTTCTTTTTTTTTTTCTTGAAGAAAATAGATGTTTCAAGAAATGACTCCAGTTCTCTGGTCTTAAACACAACAGCAATAATTTGAAGTTACTTTAAATTCATTTAAAGACATTCAGGATTAAATCTCAAGACTTAGCCCAATGGTGATCTTCAAAGGATGTTAAGTTTGGAACTGTATGGGAATTTGTTTGAAAAGTAGAGCAATGGCTGGTTTTGGAGTTAAGCATTTTGAGATTCACATTCTACCTTGCTCAAGAACTACCACTTACAAATGGGATAAATATAGGCCAACTTTTTCATCTCTCTGATCCTTAATTTTCTCATCTATAAAATAGCATTGTTGTGATGATTAAAGGAATAATAAATGTGTAGCAAAGCATGGGGTGTGGATAGTAAGTGCTCAAATATACTTGGGTATATGGCAGGTACTCTTTTAAGTGCTTTCCTGTATTAGTTAATATAAGCCTTACAAAACCCCTATGGGGTTGGTAACCATTATGTCCATTTTACAGGTGAAGAAACTGAGGCGTGGAGAAGTGGTCACAGAGCAGAGCTGAAATCAGAACCCAGGCAATTTACCTTACGATCAGATTTTTTTTAAAAACCACAAAAAAAACTAGAATTAAATATCTGAGCTTAACTGAAAAAGAAATCTAGGGCCAAGTGGTATTGTTTTCTATAGAATTTTTTTTTCTGTAAGAAAAGAGGATCCTCTTAGGCAAGAATATTTTTAAATGACACCGATAACTAAAAAAAATTCTATTTTAAACCTCAGGAAGGGCATTCCAAACATTTTCCACATTGTTGGCTCTAGAAAGATGCTCGGCATTTTATCTTGGACTGAAAGAAAGAAAAATCAGCAGAGAAGTGAGCAGCAGGGCCAGAGTTTCTGGCCTGCTCTCTGTCCTGTGTCTCTCTAGAGTGTAATTATTTCTACATTGGAGACCATGGCTGAACCACATGGGATAGGTATCCAGTTAGCTGTTAAAATTCATGTTAGTTTACTACACAGTTGCTGATTTCTTTAAATGAAAGCCAAGGAGAAATATATTTTCTATAGAGAGTGGAAATAAGGAAGGATATTCGTGTATCTCATTCTTCATCTTCTATATTTTATTTTAGTAATGTGTGTTTTTTAAAAGGTACTTTTTAGAATTAATATTCTTCTCCAAAAGAAGTTTAAGAAGTTATGAAGTATGCACGTTCTGATTTAAAAACCAACTTCAACACATCATTAGGGAGTGGGTGCAGTGGCTTATGCCTGTAATCCCAGCACTCTGAGAGGCTAAGGTGGGAGGATTGCTTGAGCCCAGGAGTTGGAGACCAGCCTGGGCAACATAGGGAGACCCACCCTGTCTCTACAAAAAAAAATAAAAAAAAATTAGCCAGGCATGGTGGTGCATGCCTATGGTCCCAGCTACTTGGGAGGCTGAGGTAGGAGGATTGCTTAAGCCTGGGAGGCCAAGGCTATAGCGAGCCATGATCATGCCACTGTAGGTAACAGAGAGAGAACTTGTTTCCAAAAATAAAATAAAATAAAATAAAATACCACATTATTAGGAAACACTATCCCCTCATTACAAGTTTATTTTTCTTCTTAAGTTTCAACATTTTTTGAGAGAAGGCAGAAATTCAAGTTGTTTCTACAAAGGGAATTAAGATCCAGTTTGAGAAAAGATGACTGAAAATTTGCCTTAGGAAGTTAGAATCAGTTTTCCTTATTTTTTCTTTCTGTAGGCTAAAAAATTAACTTGAAAATTTAAGAAATGTCAGAATCTAATGTTTGATTTTTTTTTTCACCAGAGATAAAACTGGTTTGAGTTTGACATAACTTTAAGCTAATTCAGTTTGAATAATTTATAATAATGAATAATTCAGGAATGTCAGAGTCTTAGAATGTCTACATTGAAGATGCCTTAAAGATTTTAAATCTTTTTAAAAAAATGTTTTAAAAAATCTTTTACTGAGGTGGGGTCATCATTAGATGGTGTTTGCTCACTTACTGGGGGGACAAACAGAGTAGAAAATGAAGTAAAAGTTGTAAAATATTTCAAATATGCCCCTTCATATAAAAATATTCAAACTTAGAAAATATTCCCAGGTTTTAAAAAAACTATTCAGTTTAATGTGTCTTTGTTCCTTCCTAGATCAGTTAGAGTTATTTTACAGTTATCTAAATTGAAAATGTTAGAAATAGCTGCCATTTAGAATGAAAATAAAATGAATACATCTAACGCTCAACTTCTCGGAAGCACGTTTGTGGTGTGAGGCTCACCGTACACCCACCTGAGCATCTTCAAATGTGTATCGTCCAGGTTCCTTCACGTTCTGTGTGGTTTTGTCATAACTCTTGGAATCCAAGTTAATAGCACTGGGGGCTCCGGGAGCCAGAAACTCTTGCCATATTTCCTGAACTCTTGAGGGTACTTCTTTAATAGGCCTCTTTTTCAGGTCCTCCACTGCCAGCCAGAATCTATGCAGAATGTGAGATCGGGTGTTTACTCTGATGGCCCATCATCTGAAAATTCTTGTGACATTTACGGATCATGCAGTTCATCATGACGACTCACAGCCAGCTCACTTTCTCTGAGGGCTTCCAGTATCAGGGTGGTACTGACTGTGTTCAAAGGATAATCTTCTTTGGAAGATTATTATGAAAAATAATTATTAATAAAAATATAAAAATATTAATAAAAATATTTTAAAAATATAAATAAAAAATATTAATAAAAATATAAAGAAACATGAAAAACTCTCTCTTCTAAGTGTTTGTTGTTAAAAGCAGATCTGTCAGAGCCCCGTATAACACTGATTTTACCTAAGGAAAGTAGCACTTCTGACTGTTGATTGAAAACAAAGAGGAGTTTGAAGGGAATTAAAGGTGTGGGACATGGAGCCTCCAATTGGGAGATAAAGCTGTGCATTACACTGTGTTCTTTGGATGTTCTGTCCATTTCAGCAATGGGGGCTAGTATGGAGAGCCTTTTCTGTTCTAGGTGGTAAGGGAATTACAAAGAAGCTTTGCTGGAGTTAAAAGAGGCCTGGACATAAGATCAGAAAATGCTCTGGCTGGAAAAATAAAAACAATTAACTAATGTTAAGGTAATTTAATTGAGAGAGTTATGGAATGACCAAAGCAGCAAGCTTTCACATGGAATTATTTGAAAAGTTGAAATGTGTAGAGGCATCATTGCAATTCAGAAGCCACGGAATAATATATACTGACTTACTTCTGAAGATAGACTTATTTATACCATATGTATACTGAAAGAACCTGGGAGTGTGTTTTGGTTGATAATAGCAAGTGGTAAAGTCTAGTGAGAAGGGGCCACATTGTATTAATCGGTTGCATTTCTTCAATATTTTGCTCTAGGCTAGAGCTTGCTGGTTAGATCTCTAGAAATAATGTTTAAAAGATAAATGAGTATATCATAATTTGTTAATAGAAACAAACACTCTACTAGAAAAAGGAGCTGCTAGGACTGTGTTATCCTCCATAAACACTCTTACTGCTCTAATAGTAGACGAAGTCAAAGAAAGGCAAAGAGGGCCACAGAGACAGCAAACTTCAGGCTACAGAGTCTTAAGAGAGGCACAGGTGATCAGCAGTACCTTCGTAACTACTAAGCTTTAACTTGACCATTAATAAATAATCAGAAATCAGTAATGAAGTGCATGAGCTAGAATTAGAATATCAACTACTACTCAGTCTAGTGATTTTTGAGTTTTCATTTCCAGATTTTGTTTTTTTATAGATATATGTAGCAGAGGATAATCTAAGTTTGACAACGCCTCAAACAGGAAACTACCACCATGACTTTTAGAAAGGAAGGCTCAAGACCTTTCCCTCTTAAAACACAGATTTAGACACTGTGCACTCTAATAGGAATACTATGCGAGGCTGGGCATGGTGGCTCACGTCTGTAATCCCAGCACTTTGGGAGGCTGAGGCGGGCAGATAACCTGAGGTCGGGAGTTTGAGATCAGCCTGGCCAACATGGTGAAACCCCATCTCTACTAATAATACAAAAATTAGCTGGGTGTGGTGGCGAATGCCCATAATCCCAGCTACTCGGGAGGCTGAGGCACGAGAATCGCTTGAACCCGGAAAGTGGAGGTTGCAGTGAGCAGAGATCATGCCATTGCACTCTAGCCTGGGCAACAAGAGCAAAACTTCATCTCAAAAAAAAAAAAAAAAAAAGGGAATACTACGCATAATCCGAGGGAGCAGAAGTGTTGAAATTAACATATGCTCAGGCAAGTTCATGCCAGCACACTCTGAACACATCAATCAAAACAGTCTCTGTCCTCAAAGAATGAGTAGAGAAAAAGATAAACCATTTAATTGGCCGTAACACCAGGAAGTACATGAATGGCTCTCTAGGAAGAGAACGAACTAGACGGTCTGGGAAAGGCAAGCAGGAAAGAGCCCCTCTGCTGGGGCAAGTGCTGGATTGGAAAAGGGGGATCTAGACAAAGCTATTCTAAATCCAGTGACATCTGAAATGGGCCTGGAAATAAGCATAAAATATAAAGGGGTTGAGAAGTTAATAACCACACCTACACTGTTATGTAAGTGCAGGCACTGCTCTAAGTGATTCACCTATATTAACTCATTTAATTCCCACAGTAATTCTATTAGGCAAGTTCTATTATTTCCCTCATTTTAGAGAAGAGGAAACTAAGCATATGAAGATTAAGTTGCTTATTTAAGGTTGCTCACTATTACTGTCACAGCTGAGGTTTGCTCCCAGAAGATCTGCAGCAGATGACATGCTCACAACCACTCCCTCACACGGTCTTTCTAACAGCATCATTGCCTTTCTTATTCTCACCATTACTGTAATTATTGTAATAGCTTAATAGCATGGAGGAGCCAGGTGCAATGGCTTGCACCTGTGGTCCTAGCTACTCAGGAGGCTGAGGTGGGAGGATCAGTTGAGCCCAGGATTTCAAGGCTGCTATGAGCTATGACAGTGTCTCTGAACTGCAGCCTGGGTGTCAGAGAAAGATCCCATCTCTCTTAAAAAAAAAAAAAAATCCTATATCCTTTATATAGGTGGAAGCTAAGTAAGTATTTTTAATGTCTTTGATTCTTGATTTCCTCATCAGTAAAATGGGATGATAACGCCTATTTCACTGGGTTTCCACTGGATTAATTGGTTTCCATTGGATTAGTTGATTAAATTAATTCCGTTAATGTATACTAATGATATAAATTATATAGAAGGCACTGAAAAGTACTTGGCATATTTTTAGTCACTCAAAGATAAAAACTCATGATATTACTATGTTTTCTTAGCACTTGCTCTATGCTATGTGTTTTGCTCAAAAAAAAGAATGAGGGAAATACATCATAAAATTTCAAGTTTCTGCTCTCTATTAGGGAGAGCAGAGGGTATATTTGAAGCATAAGTAGTTATCGAGAAACAGTGCTTCTTATTTTTTTCCTGTCCTAATATTTGAAAAAAAATGCTCAGACGAGTGACACACTCACTGATAGCAGGAGGGCAGCTGTTTAGGTAAGATGCACGGAGAGTTATTTTATTTTAAGTGCAATTCACAGCCCTGTTGACCACTGGACCATTTTGTCTCCTTCAGTGTGTGACACAGATATGTCAGTGGAAGCAGAGTAGGGCTCAGATTTGGGGAGCAGTGGACAGTAGCTTGGTACTGGTTTGTAGGAAACCAAGAATGCCACTTACATGCAATCTGACCTCCTTAGCCACACTTTCTCGGCTTAACCTTCCTCAGCCACGCTTTTCTCATCTATAAAATGAGGCAATATTTACATTTTATGTTGTTTTGGTGGTTGGATGTGTGATGATCAGAAATAATGAATGCAAAATATAACAGCATACTTATAAAAGTAGTAGATATAAAATATATTCTGGTGTCTTGTAGGTATTCAAGAATTAATCTACATCTTTCATTTATCTACTGATCTATACTTACTAAGGAAACATATGATAGGCAATATAGTAGATACTCAAGAAATATATGTATATGTGTGTATGTATATAATGTGTGTGTATATATATAAGATAATCTAATATTTCTTAGATATAATCACTTAGCCTAGAGTCTAGTACGGCATAGAATGATTAAGATATGAAATGATTAAAGCTTGAACTAAGAAATTGGCAGGAATTCAATTCATGCCTGAAACCTAGTATGCACATGCTATCCTCTTTTTCCAAAGGCATCTTCTCTCTTCCTGTTTTGATGGTTTATCTCCTCCCCATTGTCCAGCTCTTAGCCTAGAAGCGATTTCCCCTAGTATCCCTTCGCTGATCTCTAACTCTGGGCTAGGCATCCCTCTCTGCTTCTCCCAACTAAACACCCATGATTTTGTGCTGTGATTTGTTTTCTTGTCTGTATCTACCAATAGACTGTAATTTTAATGAGAGAAGGCGATGTTTTTATTTGGCTAGGTGAGGCTGGTAAGGCTTATTACTTATTTATTTACTCATGATGATACAAATGATATCAGCATGTTTTCAAAAACTTAGAGAATGAGAGGAATGTCCATCTCCCTAGCCACTAAAATGCCTCAAGGATCCTTTATCTCTGCTTTATTTTTAATGCATTCTTTTTTTTTTTTTTTTTTTGAGACAGAGTCTTGCTCTGTTGCCCAGGCTGGAGTGCAGTGGTGCAATCTCAGCTCACTGCAACCTCCACCTCCTGGGTTTAAGCGATTCTCATTCCTCAGCCTCCCCAGTAGCTGGCACTACAGGCATGTGCCACCATGCCCGGTTAATTTTAATTTTAATTTTTTGTAGAGATGGAGTTTGCCATGTTGGCCAGGCTGCTCTCAAATTCCTGGCCTCAAGAGAGCCACCTGCCTCGGCTCCCAAAGTGCTGGGATTATAGGCGTGAGCCCTCGCACCTAGCCTTTTAATGAATTCTTGCACTCAATTATTGACAATGTGACCTAATATAGAAAATGTTATTAGTAGTCTCAATACAGAACTTTAGCAACTTTAGCAGCAAGATCTTGCAAAAGCCCAAGCATGAAGGGTTCCCATAAACTGGAAGGAGAATAGGAAGCTGCATGCCAGCAATCCATGCCAGGCACACACAGAGAGTTACATTCCTCCGGGTTCTGTCTGTGGTCATTTTGCTTCATCCATGCGACATGTGTCAGCGTCCTACATCTTTCTGAATGGTTTGGGATTCCTACCTGTTAAATCTCCTGAAAAGAACGTGACCATGCCTGGCACTACTTCGTTCCAATGAAAATAAATGAATGCAGAGAACTTTCAGTAAATGAATTTTACAGGACTGCATAAGTCATGGAAAAGTAAAAATTGGGCATCAGCTTTCAAAAGAATAATGAATGAAAGAACTCATGAAACAACAGTCTTATATAGTGGAAAGTTATCACTCCCTTCAATGATGTTAAATAGAGCTATTAAAATCCACTCTAATGTCTTATATTTAAAAATGCAATTTTCAGATCCTCCTTATGTTAGCAAGTTTTAAAAATATATAAAGATGATGTTTACAACAGATGGGCAGAATGGGTGTCACTCTCTCACGAACAGCTCAATGCTGTGCTGCTCTCAATTGCCCTGTGGCTATTATTTAAACATGCAAAGAGAATGAGACAGCCCAATAGTTTGGTTTCAAGTTATTTGATATAGCTGCCCAGTCTCTTCTTCTCTAACTTGCTTGAGAAGTGATACGCAAAGATAGTCAACAATGACAAATAGGTGATATTTTAATTGAACTTCATAAATGTTATTGGCCAATCTCCACTTTGCCAAACATTGTTCTCTGTACTGCATTTCTTTACAGAGTCCATTTCAAAGCCACCAAATTTGTATAGTTAAAACATCTGGAGATACAGAGACGGCGTAAAAATAAGTTATAAGAAATTGATACGTTGGACAGCCTTTGCCTTGCTATCTCTTTTCCCTTCATTAGGTGGCAGAAATTCAATGGGTTCATGACATCATTATGATGTTAGTGGAAGAATAATTGATCTATTACCTCCAAAATAACCAGACACATCACAGACAGTATTTCTCTGGCTTATAAGATCCAAGCAATGTGTTTTACCTTAAATTTTCCGAGCTGAATTCTGACTCTAGAAATTTAAGGAACTGTTCTCTCCCAACTGGGTCTTTCAATGCCTCGTCCATGCCAAAACCCCATCGTTTTACCCTCTGCTGGCTCGGTTCTTTGCTATAGAAGATAAAACAAAGGCAAATACATTCCTTTCATTAGAATTCCCATTTTTTTGTTATTACATTCCCCTTCAAAATCATGTGTGCCTCGAAGTTCCCATCTTTACCTTTTCTTTAAAAATATATATATCCGATTAACGGCTCTGCATGAAATCATCGTGTACATTAGTATTAATAATAAAGTCTAACATTTATTGAGCATTATGTGCCAGGCACTTTACATAAATGGTCTCTTTTTGTTTTTGCCAACCACTTTATGAGATAGCCACTATTAATCTTATTATTTTCCAGATGAGGACAGTGAGGCACAGTATTATCACTTGCCAATGTCAGGCAAGTAATAAGGGGTAAAGATCCAGATATTCTGACCCCAGTGCCACATTTCTTTTTTCTTTTTTTTTTTTTTGAGATGGAGTTTTGCTCTTGTCACCCAGGTTGGAGTGCAATGGCGTGATCTCGGCTCACTGCAACCTCCACCTCCCGGGTTCAAGAGAGTCTCCTGCTTCAGCCTCCCGGGTAGCTGGTATTACAGGCACCTGCCACTATGCCCGGCTACTTTTTGTATTTTTAGTAGAGATGGGGTTTCACCACTTTGGTCAGGCTGGTCTCGAACTCCTGACCTCAGGTGATCCACCCACCAAAGCGTCCCAAAGTGTTGGGATTACAGGTGTGCGCCACCATGCCAGGCACACATTTCTTAACCACTACGCCACACAGGGTCATGCAGGTATATTGAACTGGGGAAAATGCATTGGTAACCAAAAGATCTCAATACTAGCTAATGATTCTGGTGTCAATTAAATCTGTGACCTAATCCCAACTGAGTCACAACATTTTGGGGTTCCAGCTTTCTCATCTATAAAATCTTTAGCTTGTGGAGGAAGAGTTCTGGGCATGTCCAGTGTTTAAGATTCATGGCTGGATGCAAAAGTGAGAGAGACCAGAAATGCAATCTAGAGAACTGCTAGAAGTGTGACAGAGCACCCATCTTTTCTTTGTAAAGTGATACGCCATGATCCTCTTATGAGTCTGTTAAGACTGATGATGTAGTTCTTTCCCTAGATAGCTCATGAAAGAAACTATGGAGTCCTAAGTGGTGCTTTGCTTTTCTTAGGAAGTGTCTTGCCAGTTTCTCTTACAGTGTCTATGGTAAGCTCATTCTGTCTTAAAATTGAATTTATAAAGACATACTTGTGTTGGGCTTAAGTATGTATGGCTTTAGCATTCACTTTACTTGACTACATGAGACTTTGTGGCTACGTGAATTTTCCAGGAAGATAATAGCAATGAGCTAAATTTCAAGAGCTGAAGATCCTAACTCTGACTAATTGCACCTCTAATTTTGGGACGGTCTTTCCAGCAATGCAAATCTTAATGCAAATGCAAATCTTAATGCAAATGCAAATGTCTAAGTTTCAAAAGCCATGATCTCGAACAAGAATGTTAGATATAGGCCAATGTAGATAAAGAACAAAATTACATTCACAATTAGCCAACAATAAAATCCTTCCCATTTCACTCAGACCCTGAAATAAAGCAACATATGGGCGAGAAAGATAAAATGCCACCTACCTTGCCTCAAGTTCCCAGAAAGTGGTGTCATCGGACAGCCATGGGTTAGAAGGGTCAGGTGGCAAAAGAAACGGGTCGTATTCTAAATACTGTTCCGTGTAACTTAGTAGACTAAGGAGAAAAAACATTTCCAGTTTCTTTAGTTTTCTGACTGGGGTTGCAGCCAGTCCAAAGCAGGGAAAACAATATAAAAATGTGGGACCAAGGAATCCTTGTTCACTTAAAGCATGAAATCCAATGGCAATCTTCACGCTTCAGTAACTTTCATGCAACAACTTATTGTGCTTCTTGGCAGACAACTGTGGCTAAAGATTCCATCTCTACCCATGCCTAAGCCATGTAAATCAGTATCCCTTGGTTAACATGAAGCACTATGGAAGAGGTCAGTGTGTGAAGGGCACCGCTAAGAGTCAGTTCCAATCTTTGGTTAATCAGTCCACCCACAGCAGAACAGATTTTATACAACTGAGAGAAGGGCTTAAAAGGGAAATTTTGTCAAAAGTATTTACAGGAATTAAGTAAAATGGGAGCCACTGACAAGTTTTTTAAATGTATATAAAAATTTTAAAAAGGGAGAAGGGAAAGAAGTTGGGGAGGTAGGATTTGGCAATGCCCAAAAGTGAAGAATATGAATGGCATTAAGAACAGATTTAAATGAAGCAAAGGAAAATATCTGAAATTTGAGTTTCATTCATATTCTGAAGTCAGGCAGGAACAGTGTCAATTGTCATTGTTAAAATAAGTTTATAGAGAGGCTCCAGTTTGCCCAAAGGTCATCAATAAATGGAAAGTTTCATGTCTTCCAGCAGGAGTGAAAAGGCTAGACTCTGCAGAATTATCCTCTATATCTGATTCTTAGTGGAACAAGGACTGGATGTCTAGACATTTAAGACAATTATAATCATTCTGTCATTTAAACTACATCAAAAGAGTTCTTTGAAAGTTTTTCTATGTGCAAAAAGGAAAACAAAATCACATTACTTACAGGATTCCAATTATCTGTCCCAACTCCTGTCCCCACAGTTCTCTTTCATTTTTAAACACATGTAATTGTCATATGAAATTTTAAAATTTATACAGACACTTTGAAATACTCACCTGTCAGCGACTTTTGACATTTTTAACCGATGTCTATCTAACTGTATTTGCCAATATTTTATCTGAAAAGAGGGTTAGAGAAGGAGTTACATAAGTAATGACATTTTCACAATTTTCCACTCTAAATCATGATCAGCTGGGCAATTCTGAACAAGAGTATAGTCTACGTCAGTACAATTTCAAAGTTGGTTAAAAAAATAGAAGCAGAGGGCTCTTAAAGAGTTAACAAAATGAAATGTTGGAATTTGAACACAATTGATATCACTTTAGAAGAGCAATGAGTTTGACCATTCTGCCTACTTTAACAAAATGTGATTTTATTTTAAAATTGTAGAGATTTTGCTGGGTGCAGTGGCTCATGCCTGTAATCCTAGCACTTTGGGAGGTCAAGGTGGGTGGATCACTTGAGCCCAGGAATTCGAGACCAGCCTGGCCAACATAGTGAGACCCTGTCTGTAAAAAAATATATACAAAAAGTAGCCAGGTGTAGTGGTGCAGGTACTATAGTCCCAGCTACTCTGGGGGCTGAGGCAGGAGGATCACCTGGGACTCTGAAGCAGAGGTTGCAGTGAGCTGAGATCACACCACTGCACTCCAGCCTGGGTGACAGAACAAGATTCTGTCTCAAAAAAATAAAAAATAAAATTGTAGAGATTTTAAACGTTCATTCATGGTGAATACCTAAATCCAGAATCATACTTCCCTCCAAATTTAGAAAATAAATGTATTTATTACTATAATTTCAAAATAAATCCTATCTCCTAATACCAAGAAAGTATCAATGATATGTGTTTTGAGAATAATTTTATCAACAATTCATGACAAATGCTCACATGGAATAATCACACACAGAAAACTTTAATTAAAAACGCTCTGAATGACTTTTCCTTCCTGATTATTGTAAATATACTAGAAAAGTATATTTTACACTCTTGATAAACTATATTATAATAAAATATCAGAGGAAAAGAGTCAAAATGAGAATAAAGCCCCATAACTGAACCAATCATGAGATTATTTGATTTCAGACACTGGAGTTTGCTTTGAAATATTACTTGGAGTCAACACCATTGATCAAATGCTAAAAAAAAGAGGTAGTGTATAGCATGACTCCATGGCTGTACGCCAGTGGTGATAAGAAAAAACTTCAAGAGGTAGAGAGAAATCAGCACTGCAGAAAGCGAGAGTAAGCACTCTTGTGAAGAAAATGTCCTATCATTGGATGTGGGAAGTGTGACAATGTTCTCAACCTCTTGTCCTCTTACTCTTTAAAAGAGAGCTTTGGAGTACAAAGTAACTATTGATGATGGAGTCACTTACAAATCAGCATATGTGATTTTTACAATTGGTTAGAGGAACAAGGATTTGGGTAAATAAAGAGTGAGGGGTTTTGAAAACCATTACCATATATTGATACATTTTCAAGTAATTACAATACTTAAAATTACAACATTTTATTATCTTTTAACTGCAAATCTTCCACATGAAACAGTCAGTCATACAAATAACCTATAAAAATACCCACTATTAACATTTACCCTCTGGTTTTCATAGCTGTTACTCTGTAAACCTTTAACAGGTCATCTCATAGGTTGACTCACCTGTTGTTGTAACTCATCTTCTGTTGGAGGTTTAGTTTCTGGTGTGGGTGTGTGGGTAGGACTGTGACTTCTAATATCATTTTGTAAACCATAGACAGACTATATTAAAATAAAAAATAAACATTTTAGGACAAAATACCGTTTACAGTCACAGACTTTCTAAAAAGTAACTCTAGCATAAATTCAGTAAGGTCTCTCAAAGCTTATTTGATTAAGCTTCTTAACAAAATTCAAAAGGCACTGCTAAGATAAAAATCAAATGCATATAAAATAGAAGCACAGCTCGGAAAAAATGTGTAGTTAGATTATTAACTTTGACAGAATAATTGGTTATATGTAGAGAGCAAGGTGCATGTGATAAAATTTGAGAGCAAGCTGGGAATACCAAGTTGGAGAATGTCAACACTAACTAACATTTCATAAGCATTGATTTAAGAAAATAGAGAGGTGGATGAAGAATAGAATAGGAATGCAATAACTCAAAAGAAGATTTAAAAATAACTCGATATTTTACATAGGAATTAAATGGGGCACTGAGGAGAGTGACAAGTCAAGAATTCTATTGCTGATTTGATTTCTGATGGTGCAATAGAAGACACCAGGGTACTCCTACTCTCCATATCAACAGTGGGTTATTTACTTCACAACACTAGCCTTGCCATTGGGTGCCATTTGCAAACATCAGTGACCCCAGAGGCGTCATGCATCTTCGGAATTCTCAATACCCTTGTATTTTTTAATTAACTTGTCAAAAGGTCAGACCTACTACTTAGGAAGACTCTTTTTTGAGAAAGGCCCATTGCTTAGTAAGTATAAATAAAGATCTGGTGACTAAAGGGATAAAAAACTATCTGTAACTGACTATGAGACATCTCACGTGTCAACTCAAGGAAGAAGCCAAATTATTTCTTCTTGGATATCAAAGTATTATTCCTTTAAAATAAAGAATTTAATGTGTGTTATTGAGCACTTTTTCTTTGGATATGAGCAAGAAGGATGAGGGCATAATAAAACTGCATGAGCTCCACAAAATTAGTACCAGATAAAGTTTACAAAGACACTTTTGAAATTAGATGAGGTTAGATCCAGATGCCTAATGATGCCAATTTTCAGGCCCGTCACCAAGCTTGCCAATATCTCTAAATTCAATGTGTTTTTATTCCTGAACTGCTTTCACTTGGACCTTAAATCCACTTAACACTACGTCTTGACTCTGTATCTGTCTTGACTCTGTATCTGCACCTTTTGGATGTGGTTTTGCCCTTGTGTCTCCCGCCCTCCGTCCTTTTTATTTTTATTTTTTTGAGACAGAGTCTCATTCTGTCATTCAGGCTGGAGTGCAGTGGCGTAATCTTGGCTCACCGCAACCTCCGTCTCCTGGGTTCAAGTGACTCTCTTGCCTCAGCCTCCCAAGTAGCTGAGATTACAGGCACGTGCCACCACACCCGGCTAATTTTTGTATTTTTAGTAGAGATGGGGTTTCACCATGTTGGCCAGGCTGGTCTTGAACTCCTGACCTCAGGCGACCCATCCGCCTTGGCCTCCCAAAATGCTGGGATTACAGGCGTGAGCCACCGCGCCTGGCCTCCGTCCTTTTTTTGGTGCTCTTATCCTTTCTTTATAGATTTTAACTTGGACTTAATCATTGGAATAATCTATTCCCAGACTATCTTGGGTAGGCCTCTTCAGTGTCCTTTCTTGCCCTACCACCAGAACCTTGGAACCCAATTCCCATCACTGAGGATATCCATTTCTTTTTTTTCTTTTTTTATAATGCCAAACAAGAGGCAGGAAATGGCCATCCATTTCAACACAAGGATTTGCTCATATGCTTTGAATTTACTCTGAACAGGACGGAGCTGAATGTCTTAAACTAGCCCTTTTATTTCATTTATTTTTTCACTCATTCATTCATTCATTCAACATTTATTGAACACTTACTATATACTAGATATAGTACTAAGCATTAGGGAAATACAAATAAACAAAATAGATGTGCTTCTTTCTGCACTGGGACTCACAATCCAGTGGAAGGGAAAGAAGTTACACAGGTAATTACACAAATAAACATATGACTAAAAAAGGGAGCAGTATTATGAAACAAAAAAGAATAACAAGCATAGGGCCTGGAATATAAAGTGATTTAATTTACACTGAAGGAATGGAAATGGCCCAAACTGATACTAGCCATATTTGAACATGATTAAATAAAACAACCTTCTGAATTCTGAAATAACAGTAGAGGTTGATTTCTTAAAAATTATGTGTTATATACATAATGGAACACTATTCAGCCTTTATAGAACAAGAAATTCTGTCATTTGCAATAACATGGATGAGCCTAGAGGACATTATGTTTAGTGAAATATGCTAGGCAGAGAGGTCTTTACCATAGAATTACACTTATATGTGGAATATAAAAAAGCTAAAGTAGAGAGTAGAGTGACAGTTACCAGAGGCTGGGATAGGGGGTGAGGAAAAGAAAGCTCTTGGTCAACGGGTACAAAGTTAGTTAGTTAGGAGGAATAAGCTCTGGTGTTCTATTGGACAGCAAGGTGACTATTGTTAATAATAATGTATTCCATATTTCAAAGTAACTAAAAGAGAGGATTTTAAATGTTCTTGCCACAAAAAGGATAAATATTTGAGGTGACGAATATGTTGATTACTCTGATTTGTTCATTCCATGGTATATATGTTTATTGAATATTACCCGATAAATATGTGCAATTATTATTTGTCAATTAAAATTAGGCAACAGAAAGATCACCAATTATATAATAGTTCTACCTTTCAGTATCTGCTAGTTTTTCAACTGTATCACCTTAATTTTTGAGAAGAAAAATAAAAAGACTCTGAGACTTGAAGTTTCCATTCTTTTTTAACTTGGTTTAATTATTTAAAGTTTTTAAATAATAATCTACAGGTCATATAAACAGTGCTTATAAAAAATAGCTGATGGTTTTAACAGTAAGTTTTTAGGCGAAGATTAAAAAAATAACATAAAAGACTGCTAGAAAAACACAGCAATTTGTGGTATCATGAAAGTAAAATGATCTATAAGTTATCTTTTATCTCTACATTTCTATAATGATTTCAACATTTATGCATTTCCTGTAAACTTCATAGAGGTCCGATACGAGGCCGGGCGTGGTGGCTCATGCCTGTAATCCCAGTACTTTGGGAGGCTGAGGCAGGCATATCATGAGATCAGGAGATAGAAACCACTCTGGCCAACATGGTGAAACCCCATCTCTACTGAAAATACAAAATTAGCCAGGCATGGCGGCATGTGCCTGTGGTCCCAGCTACTTGGGAGGCTGAGGCAGGAGAATCACGTGGACCCAGGAGGCAGAGGCTGCAGTGAGCCAAGATCGCACCATTGCATTCCAGTCTGGCAACAGAGTGAGACTCCATCTCCACAAAAAAAACAAAACAAAAACACAAAGGTCCCATAAGAGACCATGACCCAAACCATTGGGAGGTGTTGCTTAAAACATCTTCCAGGAGCCTGGCTACTTGCTCTGAAGTTACTGCAGAGTTTCCATTTCTTGTCTTACGTAAAAGTCAACATCAGGAAGTCTCCCTTTCACCAATCTGAGTACTGTTCATTTCCTGGGGATAGTGATAGCGTTTAACTTTGATTGTTGGCTACAATGAAAACAGCCGAGAAGAATATAATTTTACATATGGGGATTATTTTATGGACAAAGGAGGCAAAGAGATTAATCCTATTTTGGCAGACAAATTATGAAAATTATTTGCAATGTAAAAGGCTTTGCATGTTTTAGAAAAAAAATGTATTCAAATCGTGGTACAGGGTGGGGTGGCATAGAACTAGAAACAGGTAAGGTTAGAGAGGAAGAGAAATAAAATCTCTTAATGTCTTAATATTTGCAGCTGGGGAAAATCAAATTAACTAATTGAGATCCATTTTTAGTTTTAATAGCAAGATCATTTATTTGCAATGCTTTGGCTTGATTAACACGTTCCTTTATTCCTATGGTGCTAAGACAAGCACTTTTTCATATGCAGTGCCATCTATTTATTCATTAAATAAAATAGATTCGGCCTCCTACATAAATCTGTTCATGTGTGATTTCCCTTGACATTTTAGAAGAGAACTAGAAAAATTATCCCGTTTTTTTTTTTAGGCAGGGGGTGGGGGTTTGCTATGGTCTGAATGTTTGTGTCTCTCCAAAATTCTTATGTTGAAATCCTCAACCCCTAATGTGATGGTATTAAAAGGTGGGGACTTTGGGAGGTGACTAGGTATGAGGGTGAAGCCCTTGTGAATGGGATTAGTGCCCTTATAAAGAGGCCTGAGGGAGCTCGTTTGCCGATTCCACGATGTGAGGACACAGCGAGAAGGCACCATCTTTGAAGCACAGAGTGAGCTCGCGAAAGATATTAAATCTGCTGGTGCCTTGATCTTGGACTTCTCAGACTCCAGAATTGTGAGCAATACATTTCTGTTGTTTATAAATTACCCAGTCTAAGATATTTTGTCACAGCAACTCAAACAGACCAAGAACTAAGTCAGAGACAGTAAAATAGAAACCACAAAGTACAAGAAGCCTTTCTGTGTTTCTATGTGAAATGTAATCTCTGGGGCTTTTCTGACTGACTGGTGTGGTAGTATTTCTCTTTCTTTCACGGTTGCTCAGCTGAGCTAGAGAACAGATTGTGACCATATCTGACACAATATGGAGGAAGTCAGTACACAGAAAGAAGCAGAGAGAAGGCAACCAGAGAGAGAAATCATGAGAGAGCTGGGTCGACTCACACCTCTGGGCAAGCTTGACCACTGCCTGCCACAAGGTTTCAGACCATGAATCAGAAAAGTCCCCTCTTGGCCGGGTGTGGTGGCTCATGTCTGTAATCCCAGCACTTAGGGAGGCTGAAGCAAGTGGATCACCTGAGGTCAGGAGTTCGAGACCAGTCTAGGCAACATGGTGAAACCCCATCTCTACTAAAAATACAAAATGAGCAGGGTGTGGTGGCACATGCCTGTAGTCCCAGCTACTTGGGAGGCTGAGACAGGAGAATCACTTGAACCTGCGAGGCAGAGGCTGCAGTGAGCCGAGATCCCGCCACTGCACCCCAGCCTGGGCAAGACAGAGTGAGACTCCATTTCAAAAAAAGAAAACTCCCCTCTTTATTCATTTTCATTTGAGCAGTTTCTATTGCCTGCACCTTTACTATACCCTTTACTTGACACACTTTTGTGTTGTTCTAAGACAAGAGTAGTTTATTCTGTTCAGTAACACATTAAAATTTAAATGTACACATGCTGTATATGGAGTTGAAGACATGTCCATATTTTATGCAGAAACAGCTAGAACCACTGGATTATTAATAGCAGGAAAACCAGACAGCTAATTATACATTTGCTGTTGTTTTTCTAGGATGTGCACATTAGCTTTTCACTGATGCTGTTAACTGTAATATTTAGTGCCATGATGTCCAAATGAAGGTGACAGAGGAAAAAGAGAACAGGATAGGAAATAGCTTACTGTTATTTTGAAATATGGGTGCTAAGTTACAGGAGGGAGCCCAAAGTGTGGGTCCAATCACACATACATGCAGATGCTCTTATCATTTCCCTCAGGTTTTGTGACCTAGGACCCCTCTAGCTATTGTCCTACAGAAGGATACAGCCTGTGGTGGTGAATTTTGTGTCAACTTGGCTGGCTCATAGTACTCAGATATGTGGACAAACATTACTGTGGATGTTTCTTTGATGGTGTTTATTGGATGGGATTAACATTTAAATCAATGGACTTTGAGTAAAGCAGTTTGCCCTTCACAATGCGGGTGGGCCTCATCCAATCAGTTGAAGTCCTTAATAGAACAAAGGCTGACCTCCCCTGAGCAAGAAGGGATTCTGTCTCCAGACTGCCTTTTTTGTTGTTGTTTGTTGTTTTGAAGAACAAGGATATTTACTCTTAAAAAAGAAGCGCTGTCCCACAAAAAGATGTACAGATTTGAAAAACACTTATTTTACTGTATTAAAAAACAACAACAACAGAAAAACAGGCAGGGGATGTCTAGATGGCAGAATTGAAGCAGCTCTGTACGAAAATGAAGATGGTACGATGATGTGACTTCAAAGAAAATGACTAAAACAAAATTTCACAAACATCTTCACGTTTCTAATAATAATGCACAAAATATCAAAAATACAAAGTCTGGGTTTCTTCCCTGTAGGTTTATGATAAACTATTAAACTTCTATTTAATGCATTTACTTTCATAAGCCTTCTTTGTTTAGAAGTACAAGCTATACAAGTACATACATGCTGGTATTTTACCATGAAAATTTCACTTTTCATCTCAAACTAGTGATTTGTCTTCTTACCCATACTTATATACATTTCACTTCCATCATAAGACATGTAATACATTTCTAGTGGTACATTTTAATCAATATATATTTTTTAAATATTGATTTTTAAAAGAATCTTTTTAGTGCTATGATACGATGGCCTTAATTTAACAGCTGAAGCATGATATGGTAACTACACTGTACTGTTTAATTTTCAGCTGTAGGAAAACATTTGAGTTTTAAAATATAACCAAGATGAGGCTGGATAGTAATAAACACCGAAATACTAGAAAACAGTGAACGAATAAATAATACATTTTTTTTCATCAGGGGCTATTCATCATTTTGTTTTTAGAAACCTGGAAGAAATTGTCTTGAGTTTCAAATGTTCTGGTAAATCTAGTCGTTTCTTAGCCTCCTCAATGTCACCTGGAATTGCTGAAATAAGTGAGTCTAAAGAATCAAAGTTCTTTTCTGGTCTGAGGTAGCCAACAATGGCCACATTGGGGATTTCCCCATAGAAGTCCTCTTTGAAGGTATGCAGGATAAGCGTGTCCATGGACTTCTTCGTATTCTTGTGGTAGAGGGTCCATCCTATGCTCACCACCACCTAAAGGCCATCTCCACTTCCGACACTGGCCCAACCATAATAAATGCCAATGGATACATCAACTGGAAGATTAGCTACTACTTGTTCTGGAAAATTAGCTGCGGAGATGCCCAGCGGCCTGGAGCCACGGCCGAAGCCCCGCACCACTTGGGCCCGGCAGAGGCAGGGCAGATGCCTCACGTTATAGTCCAGTCCGCTCAGGACACGGGCTGCGGCCGGGTCCGCGCGTTCTACGGAGCCGCCATCGACGCGGTGCCCGGACCCTGGATCAGCAAGGGGTGGGGTGGGGACATGGCCGTGAGCTCTGCCTGCCGCGGGGGCGCACCAGGGGCCTGGCGACAAGACGACACGCCGCGGTGGGTCCCTGAGGCAACCAACCCAACAAAAGCTTCCCGGCGACTCAAGAGCTGTGTCTCCCCAGACTGCCTTTGGATTTGAACTGCCACTCTTCCCTAGGTCTCCAGCCTGGTGGCCTCCCCCATGAGATTTTGAACTCGCCAAGCCTCAGTAATCCTGGGAGTCAATGCCTTAATATAAATCTCTGTCTCTGTCTCTCTCCCCCCTCCCGCCCCCCACTCTGTCTCTGGTTCGGTTTCTCTGGAGAACTCTGGCTAATACAGAATCTATTACAGTAAAAATTTTAGTATCGGACTCAAGAACATCAGACCGACAGTTCCCCTTCAAACTTACTTAGATTAGGCTGATTTCTTTCTGGCTATGCTACATTATCATTCTTTCACAGATCCTTGAGATAATACATTTTTACCTATTTCCTTATATTGTAGTAAAGTATATTCTAATTAAAAAGAAAGACTTGAAAATAGACTAATTTTAGATTCTTAACATATCTCAAATCATGCATACAGCAAAGCCTTCGCTTCCTATATTTGATAAACATGTCAAACATTCAACAATTAGATACAACATTCCCAAATGAAATGTGAAATGATTCTGATATTCTTCAGGCACCTATGCTAGATTGTTACTTTAGGGATTTACTGGGTCCTTTATTCTTGTCACGGCACGTAATTACAGGAAAAATTATTATAGCTCACTCCCAAAGAAATGAACAGCAGCTCTCCTTGCTACGAGCATTATCTGCTTTCAAAGTTTAAGCATGTTCCATAGCTTCCACTTCCTGAGCAGCCACAGTATAAAGATGGAGGCCGACCACACAGCCAGGAGGAGGCGCTACAGAGACGGCTCAATTATGGCGGAAGGGAAGGGTGGCTTCCAGGGGCAACTGGCTGGCCTCTGCCATTTCTGTCTGTGGTTTGTGATCTCACAGCGTCACCTGCTCCGCAGATACAGAGCTGTGGACCCCTCAGAGGGTGGTGAAACAGCTTGCTGATTGCTGTCAAGGTATTCACTGACAAAATGCAGTGGCAATCACAAGCACGAATCACGTACACTCCCTTTGTCATATGTCATGGACGGAGTTGTGTCCCCTCCCCTAAATTCTTATGTTGCAGCCCTATCCCCCAACATAGCTATATTTGGAGATCAGGCCTGTGAAGAGGAAATAAAGGTTAGGTGGGTTATAGGGTGGGAACTAATACAATAGAACTGGTGTCCTTTTAAGAAGAGGAAGAGACCCCAGAGTTGGTTGTTTTGTTTTGTTTTTCTCTCTGTCTCTATGCACACACAGGAAAAGCCACTGAGGACACGAGAAGAAGGCAGCCATCCCCAAGCAGGAAGAGACACTCCACAGGAACTGAACTTGCCACCACCCTGATCTCGAACTTCTAGTTTCCGTAACTATGAGGTAACAAATTCCTACTGTTTAAACCACCTAGTTTGTGGCATTTTGTTAAGGCGGCCCCGGCAGACTACATGAAGCTTAACAAAATCATATACTTATATCCATGTACAGACATTTATCTCCTTGCTCAACACCTGCACCCTTATGAGACCATGAATTAGGGGAGCAAGGCCCTGACTGTCCCATTTACTGTGGAGTACCTAAAGCCCAGGACATGTCTGGCATAGAGTACAGACTCCTTAATTTTGCTAATTCAGTGGATCATTACAGTTCCTAAACAACTATGAGCTAAAGTATCAGTGGTGATACTTCTAAAAAATATTAGTATGTGGCTTGGAGTCGGATAACCTTCCATGTAAAATAACATTATCATCTGCGAAGATTCTAGCAAATTGAACACTTCTGACTGTGAGAAGCTACATTTATCAAAAGGTGAGAAAAATCCGTTTTCTCCAACTGTGGAAAATAAGGGTATACCTGTTATTTGCTGTCAGATTTTTCAGGACTTTTGTTTTCTTCTGGCAAATGTTAGCGCTAGACAGCTCTGGAGTGAGGCCCTGTCATTCTGTTGTTACTGATTCACAAGAAATTAGATGTTATCGAGACAAAGAGAGCTAGATCTCAATGACTCTGTTTCTTTACAATATTTCACCTTGCAATGCCTCATGGGCTTTTCATCATTAAATGAGGGCTGATGGTATGTAAAGAACGACATTGTAAACTAATGCTTCTCAAGTGTTCAAAAAGAAGGGTGCCATGTGAAACACGAGAAAGATGATCTATACTGAATATGGTGCCGAAGAGAGAGTATAAATGATGACTTTATTGTGTCTAGGTGCTATCTTGTTAATCCATATGCATTCTCTTCTGAATCACAGCATGTCTGTGTTAGGGTCTGTTGGGGGAAACAGGACACCCAATAAAGTATTTCGAAGAGTAATTTCACTATTCAGAAAGTGGAGAGAGGTGGCTTAATGCACTTTTTGGAGAGCCGATAGCATTTTTGAATCTTGTTCTGCAAAAATAGTTCTTGGTGCCCTCAGGATGTGCTGTGAGCAGAGGATGAAAGCAATTAAGTTGGGCCAGCCACCAGAGAGACAGACCAGACAGGCTTGCTTTGGTCTGGCTTCGCCTCTCTCTTGGAGAGTTCCTACGGGCAGAAGCATTTGAGCACCGCATCCGAATTGGTTTTGTGGTGCTTTGCTTCAGCTTCTTTATCCTAACATCAAGGTAAACTGCCTTAAAAGAAAGAAAAGGTACTTGGACCATATTGGGGCCTTTGAACATGATGGTATGTTTCTAGGGATGGGAGAAAATGGCAACACAAAATAAGACTAGAAAAAAATATTGAGTGCTTACTACAGGGACACAGACTCTGGAAAACACGATGGCTAACGAAATACTAAGGAAATGGCCACAGAAAAAAGACCTTGAACTTTGTGGAATGTATTAATCCAGCAGCACCAATCTATAAGCTGTGTTCTCAAAGCGACTGCTACAGGCCAGAAATTCTTGTGTACATCAAGCGTGTTTTATAGAATGAATAAAAATGCCTTCTAGTTGTACGTGTTGCTTTAAAAAATATGTAGAAACTATTGCTGTGCATTTTCAAAGGGTTATTTAAAATGTCACTGGACTCAGAATAGCTTCCCCCACACCCTGCACACCGATATTCTCTCAGATAACAAACACTGAAATACAACCACTGTCTTATGGTTGTATCACAAAATTCTAGTGTTAAGAGGGGCCCCTGCACTCTTTCTGGAATTAAATATCTTTTAGATGTCCCCCTTTCCTCAGGTTTTAAAATGCCCTTCTCTCATCAGTATCAGGTTTTCTAAAGATGATTTCCTTAGAAATCCTGTTCCTCTCGTCTCAGTCAGTCATGACCACCGCTCTGTCTTGGGACCCTGGTGTGCTTGAGCATTAGGGTGGGGCTATTCTTGAGGAAGGGAGGGCTGTGGAAGGCTGGGAAGAGTGGGAAAGATACTGCATGACATGAGAAGAAAGTGTTTTTATGGCTGACGTCCTGTAAACAATGCAATCCATCACCAAGATCAGCACAACAAATGACAGTTTTACCTTCCGTGTTTTGTGGGGGTTTCTCATTCTGGATGACTTCTTAATGTCCACTTCAGTTGTATTTACACATCCAGGCTGGGAATGGAAAAACAGAGAGACAAATGAATCTTTGGGTGTGAAATTTCTGACCAGGACAATCATGAATGGCTCGCTCTCCAGAGCCCGAGCAAATGCCCCAATGACACAAATCAAGGGAGGTGTTTTCTAGATGGCCACAGCCAGTCCCATCAGCAGTAGCCAGTCATAAAAGACATGATACTTCTTAACTCTTCACACTTAAAAGCCTTCAGATGCTATCCTCAAATAACTCCCAGAGAAACAGGAAAAAGAAATACTCGGACTGCACATGTGAAAGTGGTGTCAATACGTATAGCGACAAACCCGACAGACAGAGTGAGGGCACTCCTGGACAAAGAGATACCCCTTGCTGGTTTTCTGCAGACAGCCTCTCGCAGAGATCTCTCTTTATAAAAAGTGAGGCTGGGCCGGGCGCAGTGACTCATGCCTGTAATCCCAGCACTTTGGGAAGCTGAGGTGGGTGGATCACCTGAGGTAAGGAGTTCGAGACCAGCCTGACCAATATGGTGAAACCCTGTCTCTACTAAAAATACAAAAAATTAGCTGGGCGTGGTGGCGGGTGCCTGTAATCCCAGATACTTAGGAGGCTGAGGCAGGAGAATCACTTGAACCCGGGAGGTGGAGGTTGCAGTGAGTCAAGATCACACCATTGCACTCCAGCCTGGGCAACAAGAGCAAAACTCCATTGCAAAAAAAAAAAAAAAAAAAAAAAACAGGCTGTTATTAGATGGGTGCCTTGCTTTTCCCAGGCTGGAAGACTAAAATGGCATTTAGTTGAGCCAGCTCACATCCCAGAATGAACTGTCTTACAAGGATTGTGAAACCCAGCAACTAGGAATCCTTGTTTGCCATAGACAGAATGTGCAATGGAGTTCATGGTTAAAATGTGAAAGATGGAGAAAGAAACTGGTAAATAAGATGCCATGCTTCTTCTGATAAATTCCTGACCTTCCTTTTCCTTAAGGGCAGGTGAACCCCTTTAAAACAGAGGGGTTGATGAAGTATAGGCAGCCTGCTGTTAGCTTCCTGACAACCTCAGGTGTCTCATTTGTCAGATTTATTGTTCTGTTGTACAGAAACAAATAGATGCAAGCTCCTTGTATATTTGGAGGAGGAGAGGGGAGGAGGGAGGAAGAAGAGGGGAAGGGAGAGAACATGAATCACGAAACAGAGAAGACAGGAGATTCAAAAATACATAGTAGCTTAAATGTAGAAAGGGCTTAGACATCACACATCCTTTAGAAGTGATGAGAAGTTAATGGCTACATGGACTGTGTTTCCTTTACTTTTGGTGCAGGATTTAACGATCTCTGGTATTAGTAAAAAACATCGGCCAGGTGCGGTGGCTCACGCCTGTAACCCCAGCACTTTGGGAAGCCAAGGTGGATGGATCATGAGGTCAGGAGTTCAAGACCAGCCTGGCCAACATGGTGAAACCCCATCTCTACTGAAAATACAAAAATTAGCAGGACATGGTGGCAGGCGCCTGTAGTCCCAGCTTCTCTGGAGGCTGAGGCAGGATAATGGCTTGAGCCCAGGAGGTGGAGGTTGCAGTGAGCCAAGATTGCGCCAATGCACGCTAGCCTGGGCAACAAGAGAGAAACTCCATCTCAAAACAGACAAACAAACAAACAAACCATCAAGTTGCATGTCTCTGCTCAATTTCTCTATTTCTTCCCACAGACTGCAAGAAATTAAAGCATTAGATGTCCTTAGAAGTGACTCCAGAGAAACTGTGAATACGGAAAAGTCTTCCGTGGAGTTGGGGTGGGGTTGGGAAGAAAGGGCAAAAAGGCAGAGCTGATGTGATTGGCAGACTCAGCTGTTCACTACAGTAACGGGAATCAGTTCATTGTGTAATGAGGACAGAGGACACTTTCCTTAAAGAACCATCTCCTGCTAGTATAGCCATTGGGCCAAAACTCCGCCATAATATTATAATAGATAAGGAAGTAAATGAGGAAAACATTTTTTTTTGTAGAATATGTATATACTACAGATACACACACACACACTGTACTACAAACATTAAATAAATTATGAGTTTGGTTTGCATATCTATTTAGGAATAGAAATCACTGGTTCAGCACAGTGGTCAGCTTGGCAGTGTAGGAGGGAGGAAGGGCACCCAGCTGGGTGGGACTAATTTCCTAAGTGACACTGAGCAATTCACTAAACTCTCCCAGCATCTGGTTGCTGAGTATGTGATATTGTGGTTTGATTTTTTTTTATGGTTGGTCTAAGCATTTGTTTTTTAAAAAGACCCCCGGGGATTTTAATCTGCAGCCGGAGTTCACAACCACTGATGTAGGTGTAACAAAGACAAGGTTTTTAAAACATTAAAGGATCGAGTTTTCACTTTCCATTCGATTTCTATTTCTTTGCAGCCTTCCATCCCTAAGCCTGAGCCATAACGGAAGGGAAGGCAGTAAAATTCTTTAAACTCCTATCAACATATCAGGAGCCAAGCACAGTGCCAGGTGCAGTGGCTTATGCCTGTAATCTCAGCATTTGGAGAGGCTGAGGTGGGAGGATCACTTGCTTTGAGGAGTTTGAGGCTGCAGTGAGCTGTGACTGAGCCACCACACTCCAGCCTGGGTGATAGGGTGAGATTCTGTCTCTCTCTGTCTTTCTTTTTCTTTTTTTTAAAGAGCCAAGTATGATAAGATGTGTCATAGAGATTTTCTTCCATATGTTAAGGGGTGGGAAAAATTAGGATATAATATCCAGGAAAAGGAAAGCATGTTTCTTCATGACCTGGAGGCAAAGAAAGATAAAGGTAAGATACTGAGCTCAGCAGGTGTTTCATTTTTCTCCTCTGTGGAAGAAACTCGAAGAAGAAGAGGTGATAGGGAGGAATAAAAAGTCCCAGACAAGTATGAGGAAGCCTGTGAAGTAGTCAGTCCCATTCCCATAGAAGAAGCCCCACATGCAATCCGAGCCAACATGAATTTTATATCATATGGGTGTTAGCAAGAAAGATGAGCTTAAGAAAATGCTTCCCAAGCCTCTTATGTGGCAGTCAAGCCATCCGGAGTTTCTTGCATGCCACAGTAGTAAAAGGCACAGAAGATCTAAGAATAGTGGGTGGATGGGAGCCTGAAGTTGGGACAAAGGCTGCAGTGTGCAGGGATTTTATGCTGGAAGCAGATGTCTGAAACACAAACTTCAGCAGTGAGTTCCAGGTGATGAGATGGTACCTGTTGCAACATGCAAACCTGTCTATAGCAGAAATCGACAAGGATCTGGAAGATGTTCTGGGGGTGCTTGGCCCTCTGGCCCCACTGCACAAGACTGTAAAAACAAAACCTCTAGACCCCAAACTCTCTTCCAAACCAATCCTGGATAGCAGCAGAGAAAGGCCGAGAAAACTGAAAATGTAATCATTTATCCACAAATGACCGAGTCATCTAAACCAACTATTTCAATTATGGTGGCATGCAGAGCACATGCGTTGAAACCTACCCTTCAAATAGGTTTCTGAGAAAACTATGTCAATTATAGAAAATAAAGAAACTGTATTTTCTTTATACATCTGAGGAAGCTGAACTAATTTGAACTCTAAACTCCTTCCATAAAGAGCTAGGATTCCAAATCAATTTTACTTCATACCAGGGGTCATAATTAACAAATGGCCCTGGAAATCGTGTCAACCATTGAAGGCATAAAGTGGAAAGATTCCCCTCCCCAGAGGAACATATCTGACTGTCAGTCCTGAAGGAAATTAGAAGTTTCATCCTCATATTTAAAAGATGATGGCCTTTTAAATTTGATTAATGAACCATTAGCTTACATCTGAAATTCCCACTTGAGCCAATTATTAACACCACTAATCAGCAAATTAATAAGAAAGCATTGATTTTAAAAGTAAATGTCATTAGAGACTGAACGGTAAGATATGTTTTATAACCCGGCTCCCATCCCAGGAAAATGAAATCTGCCAGTTCAAAGTTTGTTACTAATGACTAAATGGTTAAAATAGTAAGCTGGATCTGGGATGCTTGTCTCGGAGGCCCTGTAATTTCTAATGAGGCCTCATGGGACAGCTAATGGTTCAACAGATCTATGATATCTAAGTCAACTAGGAAATTCTTGAAGATTAAAAAAGCTTAGAGGCCCAAAGTTGCCTGGAATACTTCTGAATAATTAAGGTCATGACCCAGTGCTGATAACCCCTGAATAACTGCTTTCAGAAGTCATGCACTGTGGTAAGTGAAATATGGCAATAATTTTTCTTGAATTCTCTTATGTATTCAATAAATATTTCTTTCTGCATCTAATTGTCGGATCTTGTGACAAATGGTGAGTTACAGAAATGAAGGCACGAGCCCTATCCCAGTAACTTCCTGATACAATAAAAACGACAGACACATGAATAATCAGAATATGGGAGCATAATGACTAAGTGGAAGTTGGCACAGAGCATTACATGACAACAGAACATTCCAGACATCCTTTTTTTTTTTTTTTTTTTCCTGAGACGGAGTTTCACTCTTGTTGCCCAGGCTGGAGTGCAATGGCGCAATCTCGGCTCACTGCAACCGCTGCCTCCTGGGTTCAAGTGATTCTCCTGTCTCAGCCTTCTGAGTAGCTGGGATTACAGGCGGGTGCCACCACACCCAGCTAATTTTTTGTATTTTTAGTAGAGACAAGGTTTTGCCATGTTGGCCAGGCTGGTCTCGAACTCCTGACCTCAGGTGATCCACCCGCCTTGGCCTCCCGAAGTGCTGGAATTACAGGCATGAGTCACTGTGCATGGCCAAGACAGACATCCATTTTTATGCACAGTCTGTTGGTTCTCCTCAACATGGCAAACACTATTCCTTTAAAAGTTATTTTTAAGCAATTTTTCAATCTCGATGAGACCATGTTGTCTTTGGTTATTTAAAAAAAAGTCAATCATCTTTTTGATGCATATATAATAGGTACCACTAGCTGGCACCAGACCTTCGTGAAATTCGTAAAATTGGTTTCTGCAGAGCTAAACAAATCTATCTTCCCAATAAGATATAAATAACATTACCATTACCAAGTAGACATTCCATTAAAATCTTCAAATATATACTATTTGCTGGATACAGTATTAAGCACATAGTATTGTTGGATGTAAGGAATAATGAAATGCTATTTACATCAGCCTGGAAGAGAATTGTGTTATTTCTAGTGATTCAAAGATGAATTTCTTTTCAACCGAACTAAGCTGGGTTGCAACATTATTATAACGTTATTTATTATAAAGTAGGATTTAACATTGTGGAAGCCACTCCTGAGGGAGTAAACGGAGCATATCATTGAGAAATACTACTGTCATAACATTTACGTGAGTGTCCTCATGAGGTGCAAAAGAGAAGCTGGAGTTTTTGGTTTCATTATTGATATTTTAAGTAAAAGCATCTAAATGCCATTTAGTTCCTTTCATGCGATAGTACATTTTTGTTAGTTATAGCAGAAGGTACACTTGTGTTCAAGACAACTCGGCAAAGCCTGTGGTGAAGAGCGACAGTGAGAGAGAGGAATACAGAACAGCTGTGTTTAAGTTCCATCACTGCAGCTGATGTGTACCTGGGAGAACAGTGTCCTAAACGACAGGTGAGTGGAGGATTAGAAATGCACCATCAAATAGAGCTGATAGCAAGACATCAAGTACACCCTAGAAAGTTTTAAAAAATCATGATTCTGGGAAAATTCAGGTTTCAAATATGCATAGTCCCCCCTTATCCTGGGGGGATATGTTTTACTACTGCCCACCCCCACAAAAGAGATGCCTGAAACCACGGATAGTACCAAACCCTATATATGCTGTTTTTCTTATATATACACATGCTTATCATAAAGTTTAACTTATAAATTAGGAACAATAAGAAATTAACAACAATAACTAATAATAAAATAGAAAACAACAATAAGTAATAATAAAATAATAAAATATGCCAGCCTCACTGCGCTTGGGCTTTGGGGTCATTCTGAAGTAAAGTAAGGGTGACTCGAACACAAGCACTGCAATACCAGGACAGTCGATCTGATAACCTAGAAGACTACTAAGTGCCTAACAGGTGGGTACCACAGACAGCGTGGATCTGCTGGACAAAGGGGTGACTCATGTTCCAGGTGGGGCAGAATGGGATAGACGAGATTTCATCATGCTACTCAGAATGGCACGAAATTACAAACTTATGCATTGTTTCTTGAATTTTCCATTTAATATTTTTGGACTGCAGTTGACTGTGGGTAACTGAAACCACAGAGTGCAACCATAGATAAGGGGGAGCTACTGTATTTAGATGGTCCCTGACTTACTATGGCTCAACTTAAAATTTTTCACCCTTACTGTGAGTTTATTAGAGTATTAAATGCATTTTTGACTTACTATATTTTTGGCTTACAGTGGCTTTATTGGGACATAACCCCATTGTAGGTCAAGGAGCATCTGTATATATATTAATTCAAATAGAAGTAAATTAATGAAAAAGAGTCACCGCTTTGTAATACAGTACAAGTTATAAAAACTGCATGCATGATCCATAGTACCCCAGTAAGAATGATCCCTTATTCTTACATGAAGTAATTATAGATTTTAAAGTGTTCACTTACATGAAGTAACTATAGATTTTAAAGTGTTCAGTCTCAGGACTTTTTTTTTTTTGGCCCAGGCTGGAATGCAGTGGTGCAATCACAGCTCACTATAGCCTTGACTTCCTGGGCTCAAGCAATCCTCTTGTCTCAGCCTCTTGAGTAGCTGGTACTACAGGTGAGTGCCACCATGTCTGGCTAATATTTTATTTTTAATTTTTAGTAGAGACAGGGTCTTGCTCCGTTGCCCAGGCTGGTCTCCAACTCCTGGCCTCAAGCAGTCCTCCCATCTCAGCCTCCTAAAGCTCTGGTATTACAGGTGCGAAGCACTGTGCCTAGCCAGGATTCTTTTTTTAAAGATCCAATTCAAGCTTTTCTTCATTTTCTTAGGCAGTTGTCAGTTGATTCAGCCTCTGATCCTTTCAGCCCTCCTCCTCCCGACCCATCTACTTACTAAGTCCTACGCACAAACTGAAGAAAGTTGTTTGAGGAAATTGCTCCAAATTTCTTCCATTCACTCTTCTCTATAGTATTTACTCATTTGATTCCTATTAGGCCTCATTTGCTAGCTACAGACTCTTGGGTATGATATCTTGCTTCAGTGTATGCTGTGAATGAACTCCACACATCCAAGAGGCAGAAGGAAACAGAATCATACGAAGTCAGCCTGAAGCTGTGGAAAGTGGGCAGGTTGAGTAGAAGTCACAGACCATGATAAGGTGGTAAGGACTTTGGTTTAATTCTTTATTTTTATTTTTAAGGTTTTTTTTGTTTGTTTGTTTTGAGATGGAGTCTCGCTCCACCGCCCAGACTGGAGTGCAGGGGCGTGACCTCGGCTCACTGCAAGCTCCGCCTCCCGGGTTCACGCCATTCTCCTGCCTCAGCCTCCCGAGTAGCTGGGACTACAGGTGTCCGCCACCACGCCCAGCTAATTTTTTTGTATTTTTAGTAGAGACGGGGTTTCACCGTGTTAGCCAGGATGGTCTCCATCTCCTGACCTCGTGATCCGCCCGCCTCGGCCTCCCAAAATGCTGAGATTACAGGCTTGAGCCACCGCGCCCAGCCCGACTTTGGCTTAATTCTAAACATAATTGGAAGCCACTGGAGAGTTTTAAACAGGAGAGTGACTTCATATGATTTATTTTTCAAAACTCATTCAGACCTTACACTCCACACACACACACACACACACACACACACACACACACACAAACTCAAAATGAATCATAAACCTAAATGTAAAATGCTAAATTATAAAATTTTTAGAAAATAACAGGAGAACATCTAGGTGACCTTGAGTTGGGTGATGACTTTTTAGATACCCTATCGAAGGCACAATCCATGAAAGAAATAATTGGTAACTTGGATTTCATTAAAATTAAAAACTTCTGTTCTGTGAAAGATACTGTCAAGAGAATGAGAAGACAGGCCACAAACTGGAAAAAAAATAGGCAAGGTTATTATCCAAAATAAGTAAAGAACTCTTAAAACCCAACAATAAGAAGATACCACAACCCAATTAACATATGGACAGATGATCTGAACAGGCACCTCACCAAAGAAAATATACAGATGGCAAATACATTTATACAAAGATGCTCCACATCGTATGTCATTGGGAAAACGCAAATTGAAATAACGAGATACCACTACACACCTATTAGAATTGCCAAAATCCAGAACGCTGAAAACACCAATTGCTGGCAAGAATGTGGAGCCACAGAGATTCTCATTCATTGCCAGTGGGAATGCAAAATGGTTCAGCCACTTTGCAAGACGGTTTGGCAGTTTCTTACAAAACACTCTAACCATTCGATCCAGCAATCATCCTCATTGGCATTTACCCAAATTGAGTCGAAAACTTATGTTCACAAAAAAACCTGTACACGGATGTTTCTAGCAGCTTGTTCTTCATAATTGCCGAAACTTCAAAGCAACCAAGATGTCCTTTAGTAGGTGAATGTATAAACTGTGGTACACCCAGACAATGGAATATTATTCAGCATTAAAAAGAAATGAGCCATTAAGCCACAAAAAGACAAGGAGGAACCTTACGTGCGTATTACTAAGTGAAAGAAGCCAATCTGAAAAAGCCACAGATTGTACGATTCCAATCATATGACATTCTGGAAAAGGCGAAACGATGGAGACAAATAGTTTTGCCTTTTCCAGATCAGTGGTTGCCAAGGGTTGGGAATAAATAGGCCCAGCACGGAGAAATTTTAGGGTAGTGAAACTGTATGACACTACAATAGTGAATACATGTCATTATACATTTGTCAAAACCATAGAATGTACAACATCAACAGTGAACTCTAATGTAAACTACAGAGTGCAGGTGATAATGATATATCAGTGTCGGTTAATCGATTACAACAAATGTACCGCTCTGGTGGGGTTGGGGGTGGGGGGTTGATAATGGGGGCGGCTGTGGGCCGGGGAGAGGTTGCTGGGGAATTCAGTACTTTCCACTTAATTTTGCTGTGAACCAAAACTGCTCTAAAAAATAAAATTGATTAAAAAGCAACCAAACAAACAACTCATTCAAGAATATTGAGCACTTTGAGAGTGGATTATCAGGGTGGGAACAGGGCAAAGCAGAAGCAAGGGGCCCAGTTTGAAGGTTACTGCAATTATTCAGGCAAGAGATTATGGTGACGTGGGTTTGCCTGCCAGCACTAGAGATGATGTGAAGTGGTTGCATCTGGGATGCATTTTGAAGCTATAATCAACAAAACTTGCTGATGGGTTTTGTCTGTGGGCATGCTGAAGGAAACAGAATATCAAGGATGACTCCCATGCCATCTGCTGAGATGGGAAAGCCTGTGAAAAGAAGAGAGGAATCCAAAATGATCCCTGGGTTGTATTTACATACAATGTTTGTATTTGCTGAAGTCTCCAAAGGGAATGCAACTCTTTATGCAGTCTCTATGAAGATCACGAATCAGAGCATTTCCAACACAAATGCCTGTATAATCATTTGCCCTTGGCCTGTCCTTTTGTGCCATTGCGTTTTTGCATTATCACTGGTGGTATGAACATATCATTGAATCTGCAACATTAAAACATGATGATCAATTCCTGAGAATTTGGTGGAGCTGTCTCTCATTACTCAGAGTCTCTGCTACACTTTCCTAAATTTTCTGTAGTCCTACCACATTCTATTAATCTGCTCTAATTGAAATCAGACCACTTCAGCCTCACATCTAGCAACTATCTGTGCATCCTTCAATGACATTCCCTTTTTATAGACTAGGAATTGCCTTGCAGGTACCATTCTCAAAGAGCAACCAAGAGGACTCTAACCAGTACATTTGCTATAGCTTCTTTGTGGTCACTGGGATTACCCATGTTTAATGTTCAGCTTTAAATTACCTAAAATGTTCCCAGTTAGAACTGCTTTGAAATTTAAAAAATCACTGGGCAGAAGCTAAGTTGTCATAATTATCTTTAAAATAGGGGCTCCTGCAGGAAGAAACAAAAGGCCTGAGGCAAGTAAGCGTGGACACTTTCCTGTGACACCTGGCCTGCTGTGCGCACATGAGCGATTGATGTCCTTCCCTTTCTATGATTATTTCCCTACAAAAAGCTGGCTGCAGTGTGAGGACATGCAAAGAGTTTCAATTGGATGAGAAAAAAAGTCTCTCTTAGATTTGAGACTGAACATGTGTGCTCCAACTTGTTCTATATCCTGGGTTGGCATATTGGGTACTTTTATACCCATAATTGAACTGGCATTTTGATTTGCATTATACTGTTCCTCTGGTATTTCACTGGTGGGAGGGTGAGTAGCAACACAGAATTTTAGGATTCCTGGTCTGTGGGCTTAAATGGGTCATCAAACACCTTAAACATTTTTACTTTAACACTTAACATGTTTCTTGAATGCAGAAATTAAGACATGAAATCTAGGCTATGTCTCTGGTGACAACATAAATTTCCCCAATGTAAAGGTAAGGTGCCAAAAAGTAGGAAAATGAACTAGCTACTGAACTGGAGAAAACAATCTTTATTTTTTTACACAGTGCTATTGTTAGTACTGGTGACTTACATGGTATGCTGTAAAGGCTAAAGAGAACCAAATAAAATTTCATATAGCATCAATAACTCACAGTAAATTCAAGGGCTTATAATAATTTTTACAACAGATAGCAATGGGACAACTAGGAAATAAGTTTGTGAAAATCATCACATATTGGAATTAACCTTGAATTACAATAGCTGCCTTGAATTCAATAGCTTTGAATCACAAAGGATATGGGGGGCTCCTAAATCATAAGTTCCCAAATAGAAAAGGGGTGCATCTCCCTGTCTTAGTCTCTTCAGACTTCTATAACAAAATACCATAAACCAGGTGGCTTATAAACAATAGACATTTATTTCTCACGGTTCTGGAGGCTGGGAAGTTCAAGATCAAGGCAGTGAAAGATTTTGTGTTGGGTGAGGGTCACTTTTCAGTTCATAGAAGGTTCCTTCTTGCTGTTTCCTCACATGGTGGAAGGCATAATAGTTCTCTCTTGGCCTCTTCTGTAAGGGCACTAATCCCATTCAAGAGGAAAGAACCTTCATGACCTAATCACCTTCCAAAGATCTTAGCTCCTAATACCACCACCTTGGAGGTTAGGAATTCAACACATGAATTTGGGGAGGACACAAATGTTCAGACCAGAGCCCTCCCTTTACAGGACACACATACAGAGAAAGGCCATAACACATACCTCGGTTTAGCAAAATCTCTGTAAAGAAGATTAATTTCAAAGATATACTCTGTTGCATTCAACTTGATTTCCAAAAAGAGAAAAAGATGTAGTGGTGTTAGAAAAGAGATTTTTACATAAAGTTCTTTTCTAGATTTCATATTTATTGCTAAGAGCCAAAATTTTATTTTCAGTGCTAGGGAAAAAAAATCTTTTAAAATAATTCCCATGCATCCTCGCATTCTTACTTAATCATATCCAAAACAACAGAGTCTTTCTTGATGATTTGAGGTCGTGATTATTTGAGGACAATGCTTATTTTTTATTATTTTTTTTTTTTTTGAGACAGAGTCTTGCTCTGTCGCCCAGGCTGGAGTGCAGTGGCGCCATCTCGGCTCACCGCAAGCTCCGCCTCCTAGGTTCACGCCATTCTCCTGCCTCAGCCTCCTAATTAGCTTTAGGATTACAGGATTAGGATTACAGGCTAATTTTTTTTGTATTTTTAGTAGAGACGGGGTTTCACCATGTTGGCCAAGATGGTCTCCATCTCCTGACCTCGTGATCCGCCTGCCTTGGCCTCCCAAAGTGCTGGGATGACAGGCGTAAGCCACTGTGCCCGGCCTATTTTGCTGTCTTTAAGACAGCAATGCCTATGAGGCTAGATGATCCCAACTCCTAATGCCTTTTGAGCTTTTATGTGATTTTATGCCATTTTTAGTTCCTCTGCCTTATCCCAGTTAGCTGTCACTTTTTGCTGCTCTCAGCATCCTTGACTCCAGCGCATCTCATTATTCTCTAATTCGTTGCTTGGTTCTGATGTGGATCAGAAAACTATACAAATGCTCCTTTGCCACAGGGTCTCACATTTTAGCGAATGAACCGATCAAAGCACACGGTTAGAGTGTGAGAGTTTAAACAGCTACTTCGGTTAAGACTTTTTGAGTTTATTTCTTGGCTGAGTTTTGGATAGAATTAGACTTGAAGATATGAGAGGTAAGAAAAAGTCTCAAAACTGTAACAAATAAAATGTGGACAAGTTCTCATGATATATTTAGGAAAACTTATCAGTACATACATATCATAGAAGCCAATTAAAGGGGGTCAGAAGTAGATGACATCAAACATTTATCTGGAGTTCTAAGAAAGAGGATGGCATACTGAGAGCTAGAAATTTGTTCTGTGCTCCGAGGGGTGGGGAGAAAAGTTAACTGAGGTGAAGGGCAGCATTCTTGGGTTGCATCTCCCCAGATCCTGAGTGAACAATGATGCACTCTCTTGTCTACACCCAGATTCTTTTGGAAAAAGCCTGCCAGATTCATTGCTAATTTTGGTTTAGTTTCCCAAAAAGGATAAAGTGTCCAAGCCAGAACTCTCAGTTTCTCTCCCCTCCTACCTATTCTTTTCTTGGTTTTCTGCCTTTCAGTGAGTGCCTCCAACCATCCATCAAGAGACTCAAGCCATCACCAAGGAGGCATCACTAAGCCCTCTTTTCCCCTTACTTCCCACACTTGATTCATCAGCGCATCATGCAAACTTTACCTCCAAATACACCCCGAACCTACTGGCTTCCCTCCACCCTCACTGTTACCACCCTGCTCCAAGCTGCCATGATCTCCCATCTGGACTATCACAACAGCCTTCTTATTTGTTCTAATTCCTCTCTTGCTTTGTCCTCCCTTTCCCCAAGTTATTCTCCACACAGTAGCCAGAGTCACCTTTTTAAACTACAGCGACATCACATCGGTCTCCTCGTCAAACCTCCAAAGGGCTCTCGTCATGCTCAGGATAAAAGGCAAACACCTTGCCATGCTCTACGAGGTGTTACACTTTTCTTTTCTTTTTTTTTTTTGAGATGGAGTCTCGCTCCATTGCCCAGGGTGGAGTGCAATAGCATGAACTCAGCTCACTGCAACTTCCGCCTCCTGGGTTCAAGCGATTCTCCTGCCTCAGCCTCCCGAGTAGCTGGGACTACAGGCATGCGCCACCATGCCAGCTAATTTTTGTAGTTTTAGTAGAGAGACAGGGTTTCACCATGTTGGCCAGGCTGGTCTTGAACTCCTGACCTCATCATCCACCCACCTTGGCTGCACAAAGTGCTGGGATTTCAGGCGTGACCCACTGCGCCCGGCCTCACTGGCCTTCTTTGTGTACCAGGCCCTTTTCTCTGTACTAGATGCTACTTCTTTCTCCAAATACTATGTAGTCCCTCTCGATCACATCACCTTGCTTTTATTTTTATCATATCACTTACCTCCACCTGGAGGGTTTTTGCACATTACACTTGTTTGTTTTCTCTGTCTTTCACCACTGAGGGGTAAATTCCTCAAATACAGGGACTTCCTATGTCTTGTTTAGTATCTGTCACTGGAGTCTGAAATTTCCTGGTACCTAGTAGGTGCTCAATGAATGTTTATTGAATGAATGAATGTGAAAGACTTTTTGAACATACCCATCTATTAAAAATACAAAATGAGTTTTATTTTCTGTTTGCTTGTGTGTATGTGTGTGTGTGTGCATTTGTGTGTGCTTGAGAATGTTGGTACCTATAACTTAACCTCTTGGCCGACTGATCATCACCTCTCATTATTATCATACATTTATTTAACAGGAAACAAATACTCCAATTCTTCAGTTAGCCTTAAAAGAAACATTTCTAGTGCAGAAAAATTTAGCTCAAATGTTCTTTTCCTGTGCAATGTGATTAGCCCATCAGTTGATAAGTGTAAATAGCAGATTGCTTCCAGATTTGATGGGGGTTAAGTAGTTAAAAAGCAGGAAGACACTGGGAACTTACAAAGCCTCAGTTTTAGAGAAGTCAAGATGAGAATAGAGCAGGCCTCTCTGTCCCTGCCTTTATAACTTTGTTTAAAGCGGTTCCCATCTTGACCTACAAATATCCAAGGACAAACAAAATCTGTGCCCCTATGCATTTCTTTACCCGGGTGTGCAATGGCACAGCGGAGTTCAGACAACACAACTGAGCCATATTATACAACCAGCACATCTCCACTGGGCTGTATTATGGAGCTGAAGATTAAAACCCCATATGAGAAAAACCTGGATTCAAGATATAAACTAAGAAAAGATAAAGCTAATAACGCCTCTTCTATTGTGCAGTACTTTGACATTTTTCAACTATAACCATCATCTAATATGAGTTTCATAAGCATTCTCTAAACTATATAGATTAGTCACTATGAACCTAATTTTCACTGAAGCATATCAAAGATTCAAACCTTGGAAGAGAATATAAATATTATCTGGTCTAACTTAGCATCCAATTCATGATTTCTTCTGGCAACTTCTACGACAAGAGTCATTCAACCTTAGCTCGAATGCTTGTTGCCTCCTTTCCCCTAAAATACCTCCATCTGCATCACACTTGAAAGAAAATTTTTGAATAAGTCATTTATTTAAAGGACCATGCCACTTTTAAAACATGTTAATAATCATACCTAAAAAAGACAAATAACATGATGACAAACTAGTTAAGATTCTTGGAAAAGTAGAAACTTCTTTAAGCCTTGGTGTCTCTTCTTTCAGAGCGAGTGCAATAAAAATTGTTCCAACCTCCTCAGTGTATGAAATACTGCACGTAAAAGGGGTCAGCACAGTTCTTGACACACAGAATATGCAAAGCACATATTAGTTTCCCTTAGTATTAGTATTATTAGCAGTATAATTTGACATCAATAAAATAATCCCATAGAAGCAAGGGACTGGTTCTTCTATGATTTCAGATTATGTTTGTCAGGAATTTTTTTTTTTTTTTTTGAGACAGAGTCTCACTCTGTCACCCAGGCTGGAGTGCAGTGGCAAGATCTTGGCTCACTGCAACCCCCGCCTCCCGGTTTCAAGCGATTCTCATGCCTCAGCCTCCCGAGTAGCTGGGATTACAGGCATGCATCACCATGCCCAGCTAATTTTTATATTTTTAGTAGAGACCACCATGTTGGTCAGGTTGGTCTCAAACTCCTGACCTCAGGTGATCCACCTGCCTTGGCCTCCCAAAGTGCTGGGATTACAGGTGTGAGCCACTGCGCCTGGCTGTTTGTCAGTATTTGAGGAAGTTGCTTATGAAAGTAAACAAGTTGAACTATACTGAATGGAGGAAAAGCAAAAAGCTAATAAATTTTAGTAATTTTAGGCCAAATATCAGATTTAATTTTTAAAAAGGTAAGCATTTTGGGGGGGGAATAAATATAGGGTAAGTGTGGAGGCAAGAGTGTAAAACTCAGTTCACTTCAAAGTTCTTCTGATATATCAAGCCAGACCAATACGTTGGAGTTGCATTTCCTTTCTTTCTTTCTTCCTTCCTTCCTTCCTTCCTTTTTCTTTCTTTCTTTCTTTTTTGGAGTTCCATTTTCTTAATGGCAGTTTTCTTTTTTTCTTTTTTCTTTTTCTCATAAGGGGTAACTGCTAACATTTGAAAATATGTGGCCAAGCGTGGTGGCTCATGCCTGTGATCTCAGCACTTTGGGAGGCCTAGGCGGGTGGATCACCTGAGGTCAGGAGTTCTAGACCAGCCTGGCCAATATGGTGAAACCCCATCTCTACTAAAAAAATACAAAAATTAGCTAGGCATGGTGGCGGGTGCCTTTAATCCCAGCTACTTGGGAGGCTGAGGCAGGAGAATTGCTTGAACCCAGGAGGCAGAGGTTGCAGTGAGCTGAGATCATGCCGCTGCACTCCAGCCTCGGGCACAAGAGCGAAACTCTATCTCAAAAAAATAAAATAAAAATAAAAATAAAAAAAGAAAGAGAAAGAAAGAAAAAGAAAGAAGAAAGAAAGAATGAACATATGTAAGGACAAATATCTTTTTTTCTTTTTTCTTTTTTTTTGGGACAGGGTCTTGCTCTGTTGCCCAGGCTGCAATGCAGTGGTGTGATCTCAGCTCACTGTAACTTCAATTTCCTAGGCTCAGGTGATTCTCCTGCCTCAGCCTCCTAAGTAGCTGAGACTACAGGTGTGTATCACCATGGCTGGCTGATTTTTGTATTTTTTGTAGGGATGAGGTTTTGCTATGTTGCCCAGGCTGGTCTTCAACTCCTGACCTCAAGTGATCCTCCTGCCTTGGCCTCCCAAGGTGTCAGGATTACAGGCATGAGCCACTATGCCCGGCCTGACACATATCTTTATGTTGAGTTTTCTCTTAATGAAATGTAATTTGTTTTGAAAAAATCCAGTTATTGATTGTGAGGAGGTATATGCAATTATTGTGAGGGAAATAGCAGAGCTGAGGAGAAATCTAGAGTTTTTTGTATTTGAGAGAGGATTTGCTATCTTTTAAATTAATCCAGATTGCTTTTAATTTTAATTTAATTGTCTTTCTCAGGAAAGAGAAAATTCATTTGAAGAAGATAGCTGATGTCCTATTAAGGGAAGACAGCCTATCTTTTCTTTCTTTCTTTTTTAAAAATACAATTTGTGCATCTGGGGAAAAGCAAATGAACAGGGAAAAAAAACAAGCTCAAATAATGACTGCTCTCTGTGAAATCAGAGTCCATGCTGGTCCCGTCAGGGTTCTGGCAGACTGAGCCCATGTTGTTAGCTCAGCCAGCCCCTCAAAGCCTGTGTGCACGTGCATGCCTGAGTGTGTTTGTACACATTTTAAATCTTAGTTTCGCTTTGATATGATTTCAAACCTACAAGGATTGCAAGAGTGGTTTAAAGAACTCCCATAGACTCTTTACCCAGGTTCTCCTATTGTTAACATTTGGCCCCATTTTCTCCCCTTCCTTGTCTATATTTAAACTACTGGCAAACAGAAATTCAGCTATAGTAGGAATGGCCCAAGAGGCTGGCTTCTCAATAGAGTATCAGGGTTAGATGCTCCCCTTCCCTCCCCGACACCTGCCCAGACACCCACAACTATGCAAGATACCATCAGTACTTGAGATCAATACTATCCTCTATCCACTTCCCTGAGAGTTAGCTGTTGGCTCTTAAGACCTTCCTGCTATCATCACCCCAACCCCTATCCACATCCTCATCATTTCAGAAGAAACAGGACAGAAATCTGGGCTCATGATTTTGAAAAGTCGCCAATCCACAAGGGATAAAAGCACCAACTTAATAATAGGGGAAGCAGTTTTTATTCTCATTCTACCCATGGCTCACATAAATAGCATCAGATATTACATAATAATAGGACACTGTATCTACAAATCTATTCAGGGATAGAAAGAGCAGACAGAAGATGAAAGATATAGCCAGGAAGCAAAAAAGAACAGTTTCACTCATAGCGGCTTGTGATAGCCAGATTGTCAAAATATTTTTCAATCCAAAGGAACAGATGGGAATAATAGACAGAAATGCTGTTCCATTTTCAGAGCACAAAAGAAATATTTAAATTTGGATGAACACATTTTGGATTTTCTAAAACAGCTCAAGGTATCAGTAATGAGATCATGGACTATTGATAGGAAAGACAGCATCATGAGTATGGGCTGATTTGAACTTAAGAACAAAAAGCTTGCACAGTTCCTATTGATTTCAACCTAATTTGTTTCTCATGAACACCACAAAACTGACAATGCCAAAGATTAAAATAGGTATGTAACTGATATCTTCCAAGGGAAATATTAGGGAAAATATTAGGGTTCTCCTACAGCTTAAGCTCCAGATGAGCACATGAAATTATGCATGTGGATTGCACATCAGTTACAAAATTAAAAAGCAACCTCCCTGAAATCTATAGAATACTATACCTGCTGGCTCAAACCCAGAGGTAGACATGAACATTTCTAAGGGATATTTATACCTGTTGCATTTACTTGACACAATCCATGCTGTGACTCCTTTCCAGCAGCCTAGCATGGCTGATAATATGTAGCCGCCTCTCAGAGATGTTGGGACAATGGACATATACTGCCCTTTGCCTCAGAGTTCAAGTAGACATGCAAGGTGCAATAGACCATTTAATACATAAAAAACTCAATTAATCATTTCACTAATAAGAAATAAAAACTAGTTAACATGCACAAAGCCGGTCCTGGTGCGATATAATATCCTGCTGTGTCTTATGAATTGACAAAGTTTGCATCCTATGCAATAGAGATCACATGGGGTTTTGGAGAAAATGCTAGGTTTTCAGTCATCATTAGGGATTTGACTCTTAACCATATCAAAACCAACAAAACCCAACTCTTCAGAGTCTTGCTTTCTCTTATTTGTTAATTAAGGAAAATAGTTACCCACCCCACGAAGTCATTGTAAAGAATAAGTGGTATGATAAATCTAAAAGGCTTTTGCCACCAGAAACTGCTACACAGGCAATCAATGTTATTGTCATCGATAGTAATCCACATGCATTATTGTTCTCTTACATTTTGTAGAAAGAAATCCAGGTGGCATGCATTTAACATGTGTTTTAGAGTAATGTATCCTGAAGAGAGAAGTAGCTCGAACAGTAAAAGGGACAATGCTGGAAATTGACAAGCTTCTCGATAACTGACAAAGTCCTGTTGCCTCATCTCTGGCCACTGCTGCCTTGGTTGGTTCAAATATTGGAGCCCCGTGGAAAAGAAAAATCTGTGTGCTTTTGAAACTAAGTCAGTATGTATTTAATGTCATCCAAAAGGATGTAGATAGGATGAGGGAAATCAAGAATTATTAATTTATTCATGAATTCAAAATCTATCCATTGAGTGTCTGCTGTGTTCCTGGTACTTGACTGAGGCCTAAATACAGAGTCAGGGACAAGTGAAGCCTAGTCTCTGTCTTCTTATGGGGAACAGTTACTACCTCATATTTACCATGTCATTCCCAGTATAAAAATCATTCATAAAAAGTACTTTCATGTTCATCTCAAAAGTTTTTTTCCTTAATATTATGAAAGAGATGATTTGCTCTGCTTAAATATTGTGGAAGTTAACCTAAAATATAAGTGAGTGGTGAGAGACATTCTTTAGTTTAGGAGGGAGATTTGGCAAAGAACTCATGCGCCACAGCTGTGAGGAGTATACAGGATTATCCCCTTATTCCCCTCTTGATCTAGGGCTTTGTTCTCTTCCTCCTGCTTACAGGTTACTGTAAGGTGGTTCCAGCAGCATCTGCATAGGTCACCCTCTTCACTGGGAAGGGTTTCATTCATGCTAGGGCTTAACCTAGTTTTATTTTTTCCACCACCCTTTCCAAATTCTATTTTCCCAGATTCTACTGTGGTGAGTACCCTCCATAACAGTCCCTATTGACCTCCTTCTGCTGGTATTCTCACTCTGTGTGGTCCCCTCCCACACTGCACCAGGGTTGGTTTGTGTAACCAATAAACTATGACAGAAGAGATGACATACCACTTATGAGATTAGGATATACAAACATGAGGTTTTGACATGGGGCTATCTTTCTATTTTGGGATGACATGGCGGAAACTGTCTTGGACATCCTTATGGAGAGGTGCATGTGGCCAGGAACTGAAGCTGCCTGCAAACCACCATGTGAATGAAGTGAACCATCAGCCCCTTCAGATGACCATAGCCTTGGCCAACAGCTTGACTGATGCCTCATGAAAGAACCTGAGCCTGCATCACCAGGAAAACCACTCCTGGATTCCTGACTCTCAGTAGCTGTGTAAAATAGTGAATATTTGTTGTTTTATTCCGCTAAATTTTGGGATAATTTGTTATACGGCAATAGATAACTAATATACTTAACCTTCAAACTTCAACTCCAACTCTTCTGATCCCCAAAAGTATTTTTCCTGATTATACCAGTTCATAGCTATCTGCTAACCTTTTTACCCACCTCCTCATCTCCTTTTAAAAGCATGATTGCTAAAATAACTTCAGCTACCAATTACTGAACAAGGGTTGTGTGCCAGGTACTGTCCTAAGCAATGTACAAATATTATTTCCATGTGTTCTCAAGGGTCGTGTAGGGTAAGTATTTATTTTTCCCATTTCAAATGAGAAGTTTGAGACTTGGAGGCATTTAGTAAAATCTCACTCAAGAAGGAAGTTGGTGTTTGAGCCAAATCTTTTTAGCTGCAGTTGCATCCCTTGAACACTACATCACATAAAACTGTCATAGCTGTGTGAGTTATCTTGAAGTCTTTGTATCTGAGGCAGGGAAAATATAAATGGAGAGAGCCTAAGCACAGTGGCAGGAGTGGGAAGAGAAGTGAGAATTTTTATGTAATCCATCATTCGGGCATTTAGCTCTTGACACAATGTTGCCCTCCCCAACTTCTGTCTCACTGGATATCTTTAGATTAAAGAAATAACATAAATTTTGCATGAGACTTTTCGAAATCATGGAAGAGTATGCCAAAAATCCATAACATTACCATTCTTTATAGTCAGGTTTTTATTATAGAAATCAATAAGAAGCCTAGTACACGCCAATTTCACCTTTGAATATGCATGTCAAAATTCTAAATCAACATACAAACAAAATCCAATATCACATTAAGAAAATAACACGACATGACCAAGTAGGGTTTATTTATTCTGGGATTTCAAGGATCACTCAACATTAGAACATCTATTCATAGAATTCACATATTACTAACAGATATAAGGACAAAAATGTATAAAAAGCTTTAGAAAATAGTTTTATCAATCATTTCTACTTGTAAAAACAAATACACTAAAATAGGGGTTCTTATTCAGGGGTTCTGCAAGATCAAAATTATTTCCATAAAGATCGGAAGCCATCACTGCCTTGTTCTCAGAAATATACAGTAGATTTTCCCAGATATTGTGATGACATGTATATAGCAAAGGAATTGAATGGAGAAAGAGATAGGTGAATGGAGCTGCCTTCTAGTAAGCTTATGATTAAAGTGATTTGCAAAAGTATAAAACAGTTCCACTCTTCCTGCTAATTTTCCTTTGGAAAATGTGCCAATTTTTCATTAAAATTACACTGATTATTTTATTAAGTGATTGGTGTCCTATTGTTATCTTACATGAAAAAATAAATATTTAAACAGTCCTTGGTTTTACTGTTGAGTCTGATAAATGCTAATAGATAAAACTTGTATAAGCAAAGACACTTCAGGACACACAATAATTTTTAGGAGTGAAAAGGAATAATAAGACCAAAAAATAATAAGACCATTTTCAAATTTTCAGAATTTGAAAATGATAGCTGTGTAAGATACAAATGTAAGGTCCAGTTTCTTAATTCTATACATAGTTCCTTTATAAAAGATACAGCAGAAAAGGAAATCTCATTTATAACGAGAGGTTTTTTTTTTTAAGAAAGAAACCTAACAAGAAATGCATGAGACATGCACAAGAAAAATCTAAGATGCTCCTGAATAACACAGAAGTTGGTAAGAACAAATGCTTAGGATGACTCAGCTTCAGAAAAAAACTCAATTCTCCCAAGTTTTCTATAAATGTATAACATTTGAATGCCAAAAAGGGTTCTTTTCTGGTGCTAGACAATTGATTCCAAAGATCACATAGCAAAATAACTAGGAAAAACCTAAAATGAAGAGCAACAAGTAAAAGGTGTATTGGGATTGAGAGGGTCTAGACTTATGAGACATAAAACACTAAAATCCAAACAGTGATGGGCAGAATGTGATATCTCCAACCCAGATGATGCCTTTTAACCATTTTGTTGCCTGTGTAAGGAACTCATCATCCATTTCCTAGTACAGGCCTCGCTAGCATATTTCAATGATAATTCCCTAAGTCTTCCCTCCTTTCTTTCATCCTAATTTTTTCCAGAATAATTCTATCATGTGGTGTGAGATTTCCAGAGAGGTGTATCTCTTAAACAGATCTATTCTACTTTGCCTTTAATTACATGTTTCATTCAACAAGTTACCCCCTTCGTTTTTCTTGGTTTATTGTAAGTTCTACCTTACTCATCCTAATGGCTTTCCTCTGTGATCTGTTATGTTAACCTCAGGGCCTGGCTTTGAGCAGCATCCTGAGTTAGTGGAAGGAATCCTGAGCTGCAATTCAGAACACCTGGATTCATTCCTGGCTCCTCTCAAAGAAAAAGAAGTCCTGGGGGAAATAAAACAAAACTCAGTCTCTCTACACTTCAGTTTCCTTATTTATGAAATGAGGACAAAATTAATGCCAACTGATATGGTTTAGATATTTGTCTCCTCCAAATCTCATGTTGAAAGGGAATCCCCAGTGTTGGAGGTGGGGTCTGGTGGGAGGTGTTTGGATCATGGGGGTGGATCCCTCATGAATGGCTTAGCACCCTCCCCTTGGTGATGAGTAAGTTCCCGAGAGATCTGGTTGTTTAAAAGTGTGTGGTGCCTCCCCTCCTCTCTCTTGCTCCTGCTCTCACTGTGTGATGTGCCTGCTCACCCCTTCGCCTTCCACTCTGATTGTAAGCTACCTGAGGCCTCACCAGACGCAGATACTGGAGCCATGCTGCCACAGCCTGTAGAACGATGAGCCAATTAAACCTCTTTTCTTTATAAAGTATCCAGTTTCATGTATTCCTTTATAGCAATGCAAGAATGGTCGAACACACCAACCTAACAGAGTAATGTGAAATTAAGAAGAAAGTTTATATATGATCACATTCCGCACCCGTACTGGATTTACCAAGAGGCAGGAAGGTGTTGTGATAAAGAGTATGGGTCCTGGGACCAGAACACCTGCCTTCAGTAACAGCTTCCTCATTTAGTACTTGTGGAACTTTGCACAACTTAAATGTCCCATGTCTGAGATTCCTTATCTGTAAAGAGAAAAGATAACAGTAAAGGCATATCTCATTTTATTGTGCTCTGATTTATTGTTCTTCACAAATATTGTGGGTTTTTGTTTTTGTTTTGTTCTTTTTGCAGATTGAAGGTTTGTGACAACCCTGTGTCCAGCAAGTTTACTGGTGCCATTTTTCCAATAGCATGTGCTTGCTTGCTTTGTATCCTTGAGTCAGATTTTGGCAATTCTAGTAATATTTCAGACCTTTTCATTATTATCGTATCTGCCATGGTGACCTGTGATCAGTGATGCTTGATGTTATTGTCGTGATCGTTTTGGGATGCCACAGGCCATTTCCCATTTAAGATGGCAAACCTAATTGATAAATATTGTGTGTGATCTGACTGCTGCATCTTCCACTCTTCAGGCTTCCCTATTTTCTGAGCTACAACAATATCAACATCAGGCCAATAATAACCCTACAATGACTTCTAAGTGTTCAAGTGAAAGGAAGAGTCCCAAGTCTCTCAATTTAAGCAAAAAACTAGAAAATATTAAGCTTAGTGAGGGAAAGCATGTTGGAAGCTGAGATAGGATGAGAGCTAAGACTTTTGAGCCAAACAGCCAAGTTGTGAATGCAAAGAAAAAGTTCTTCAAAAGCACTTGAAAAGTGCTACTCTAGTGAACACACAAATGATAAGAAAGCAAAACAGCCTTACTGTTGATAGGAAGAGGTTTGAGTGGTCTACATAGAAGACCAAAGCAGCCAAAACATTCCCTTAAACCAAACCCTAATCTACAGCAAGGCCCTAAGTCATCAATTCTATGAAGACTGAAAGAAATAAGGAAGCTGAAGAAAAAAAGTTGGAAACTAGCAGAGGTTGGTTCATGAAGTTTAAGAAAAGGAGCCATCTCCATAACATAAAAGTGCAAGATGGAAGCAGCAAGTGTTGATGGAGAAGCTGCAGCAAGTTATCCAGATCTAGCTAAGATAGTTGATTTTCGATGTAGACAAAAGAGCTTTCTACAGGAAGAAGATGCCATCTAAGACTTTCATAGCTAGACAGGAGAAGTCAGTGCCAGGCTTCAAAGCTTGGAAGGACAGGCTGACTCTCTTGTTATCAGGTAATGATGCTGGTGATTGTAAGTTGAGGCTAATGTTCATTGATCATTCCGAAAATTCTAGGGCCCATAAGAATTATGCTAAATCTACTGTGCCTGTGTTCTACAAATGAAACAACAAATCCTGGATGACAGCAGATCTGTTTACATCGTCATTTACTGAATATTTAAAGCCCAGTGTTGAGACCTACTGCTCAGAGAAAAGGATTCCTTTCAAAATATACCCACTCACTGACAATGCACCTGGTCACCCAAGAGCTCTGATGGAGATGTACAAGGAGATAATGTTGTTTTCATACCTGCTAACACAACATTTAATCTGTAGTCAATGGATGAAAGAGTAATTTTGACTTTCAAGTCTTATTACTTAAGAAATGCATTTGTAAGGCTACAGCTATTGTAGATGATCAGATTCCTCTGATGGAATGGGGCAAAGTAAATTGACAACTTTCTGCAAAGGGGTCATCATTCTAGATACCATTAGGAACATTTATGATTCATGGGAGGAGTCAAAATCTTAACATTAACAGGAGTTTGGAAGAAGTTGATCCCAGCCCTTAGGGATGATTAAGGGATTCAAGAGTTTGGAAGAAGTAATCGCAGATGTGGTGGAAATAGCGAGAGAACTAGAATTAGAAGTGGAGCCTACAGATTTGACTGAATTGTTGAACCTCATGATAAAACTCGAACAAAGGGGGAGTTGCTTCTTATGGAGCAAATAAAGTTGTTTCTTAAGATGAAATCTACTTCCGGTGAAGATGGTGTGAACATTGTTGAAATAACAACAAAGAATTTAGAATATTATATAAACTTAGTTGATAAAACGAGGACAGGGTTTGAAAGGATGTATTCCAATTTTCAAAGAAGTTCTACTGCGGGTAAAATGCTATCAAGCAGCATCACATGTTACAGAGAAATCTTTTGCAAAAAAAAGAGTCAATTGATGTGGCAAACTTTATTGTTGTTTTATTTTAAGAAGTTGCTACAGCTTCTCCAACCTTTAGCAACCACCGCCCAGATCAGTCAGCAGCTATCAGCACTGAGGCAAGATCTCCCACAAACAAAAAGGTTACAACTTTTGCTAAAGGCTCAGATGATTGTTATCATTTTTCAGTAATAAAGTATGTTTAAATTAAGGTATGTGCATTGTTTTTTAGACATAATGCTATTGCACACTTAATAGACTACAGTATAGTGTAAACATAACTTTTATATGCACTAGGAAACCAAAAAATGTGTGTGATTTACTTTATTGTGATATTTGCTTTATTTCTGTCATCTGGAATTTAACCCCAAATATCTCCAAGGTATGCCTCTACTACCTGTAGTTGTTGTGATTATTATATGGTAATTTATATAAAGTACCAGGAATAAAACCTGGTACCTGGTGAATGTTCTCTAGGCACTAATAAACTAACTGTTATTATCTACTGCCCATCTTTTTCCCCAACTTGATGAAGACAGAGGTATTGATTCTCCAATGTTGCCTCTGCTCTGTGGAAAAGAACTTCAGGGACCCAAGAATATAGAACCTCACCCTTTCCTCTCACAATCAAAGGTAAGTAAGAGCCAAACAAGACAAAAAGGAAATTATCAACATAAACATTACTTTCCCCTGGCTCTAAGGCACACAAGCAGCAACTCAAGCTAAGGGATTCCTGGGGGTTTTGTGTTGCTCTAAGTGGCACTTTTCTGAACAGTGAAACTTGATGAAGGAAAAGACCAATTTTAAGTCATCTGGATCACAACCAACATTGTCTGTGATTACCCTTGTCAGTGTGTGTTAAGAACTGGTGGTGAAATATCAAGTATTAATGAAGGTTGCTAAGTAACCACACAATTACATAAATCTTTTCAAGTGCATTTTTGAGTATTTTTAAATAATGAGGTAAAATGTAGGACATCATATGAATAACTAAGGTAATGCAACCACATGCATGTTTAAAGAGATTTCTAGGCCTGATTTTCTTAGAAAAAAATAAGTATAGTATTTCCCAGGGAAAATATTGTCTGTCTTGGAGAATGTATCAGTTGCAATCACTTCTCTTAAAGTAGTAAATAAAGAATAGTTTTATCAGAAACGACTACAGGGGAATACAGACATTTTTAGAGGAATTGCTTCTTCAAGATAACCAAGCATGTTAGCAACATGAAATAATTATAGCAAAAATTATATTATTTACATTATGATAACACTCTCTCAACGACAGCGTAAGATACAACTTCTTGGTCCAGATTAATACGAAAGCTACATTCCCAACATTTGAGATAATGAAGCCAATGATGGGAATCATTTGAAAATTTAACAACACTCCTCACAGTAACAATAGTCAGAAGAACAGACAATATCACTTGCAAAAATTGGTTCAATCTGTGAACTGATAAAAGGCAGCAGTCATTCATTACATGTACTACCAGATTTCAAAGCATGTTCTGGCCGGGCGCAGTGACTCACGCCTGAAACCCCAGCACTTTGGGAGGCCGAGGCGGGCTGATCACGAGGGCAGGAGGAGACCATACGGGCTAACACGGTGAAACCCCGTCTCTACTAAAAATACAAAAAATTAGCCGGGCGTGGTGCGGGCACCTGTAGTCCCAGCTACTCAGGAGGCTGAGGCAGGAGAATGGCGTGAACCCGGGAGGCGGAGCTTGCAGTGAGCCGAGATCAGGCCACTGCACTCCAGCCTGGGCGACAGAGCAAGACTCCGTCTCAAAAAAAAAAAAAAAAAAAAAAAAAAAAGCATGTTCTTCATTTTAGAAATGGCAAATATATGAAAATCCATGCTGATTACGAAACATACAAAAAACATTCAGGAATGTTCTCTTGGGAACACTTCTGGAACCCCCTTTCTGGAGCTATTTAAGAGAAATGTCACATATACATTTTTGAGGCTGAACAAAGATAATAATTGATAGAGACAATTTAGATGATTGCTTTCACTGTGTGACAATCACACCCTGGTCTTAAATACCACATCACTGGCTAAAAGAGAATCAGGCATTAATTGCACGTGCAAGATCACGGACTTTGATCATGGGAAAAGACGGTCTACCAAGGAGCAAGCTTCACTCTTGATAATACAACTGGAATTTAAATCTCAAACTTTTTTTCTCCCCTCTTGGTCATCTATTCCCAGTTTGCTTAATGTCATACAAATCTGTAATGTATCCAATTTAAAAATTTGAATTCAGAAAAAAGCGTTATGCACCATCTCTTTTTATTAAATTGGCTGGAATATGATGCTCTCAAATTTCAATCCGAGTTCCTTTACTCAATAACACTCCAATTTCACCCTCTCCTAATGCAAAGCACTGAATAGTAGGGGAGAAGATCCAAGTAATGACTCAGGAAAGGAGACGCTACGCCTCGTCTGGACTTTTCAGACGGCAGAGATCTCCCTGCCATGTGATGCCATCCACTGGACAATTAGAAGGATGAAAACAGTTTTCATTCAGACAAAATCTGCCTCCTTTTATCCAAAGCAAAGCAGGCTAATCTTACTCCTTTTTCCAATGACAGCTGCTTAAATACTTGAAGACAGATGAGTAACAGCATCTAACTTCTCTGCCTTAAGCTTAATTTTTCATGTCCTCTCACTTACTTTAGTACTTCACATCCCCTCCCCGGCCTACACGGGTTGTTCTGTTCACTCTGCTCAAAAGATGGGCAGAGTTTCTACATGTTGTCCCCTAAGTATGCAGTGCTTGGGATGGGATACCATACACTCTGTGTGTTCTGACTATTTCCAGGCATGGCAGAAGCATGCCTACCTTCATCTCGGACGTTACAGGCCAAACAGGAGGATTTAAGGATACTTTATCCACAATTTTTCAGAGTATAAATGTGACATCTCTTTATAGAAAATTAAAATTGCCTATGATATCAAATATCCCAGAATAGTTACAATCAATATTCAGTATATTGTCTCTTAACTGTTTCTCTAGGTATCTATTTTTATAAACAAAATTGGGATCATATTACATATAACCTTTTTTTGGATGGTAGAATCATTGCAAACAATATAATATTTATTTATTCACTCGTTTATTTAACAAGCGCGTCCATAGATTACACATGCTGTTGCATTCCAGCCTGGGCGACAGAGTGAGACCATGTCTCAAAAAAAAAAAAAAAAAAAGGAGAAACAAAGAAGAAAAGGAAGAAATTATCTAAATTTCTTATCCAATTTCTTATATTTAGATAATTTCTTATATTTAGATAATGTCTTCCTTTTCTTCTTTGTTTCTTCCTTTTTTTTTGAGACATGGTCTCACTGTGTCGCCCAGGCTGGAATGCAACGGCATGGTCACGGCTCACTGTGGCCTTGACCTCCCGGGCTCGAGTGATTTTATTTCACATTTCAGCATAGTTTTTCTCCACATCTTTCCAAGTCTTTAAAATTCTCATTTTGAGTTATACAATATACTGTCTTGTGGATATATCTTATTTAACCACCCCGGTAAGTTGAATAGCTATGCGATTTCAAATGTTAGCTACCCTATGTTTAACCACTCTAATTTTATTGTATAGCTCTGGACAAGTTAATCTACTTGTGAAAAAGATTTTATCTTTTTAATTCATATTGTCAAATTAATTTTTATACAGATAATACCAATGCACACACCCACCATAGCATTTAGAAACACTTGTCTTTCTATTGCTCTTGCCAGGATTGCATACAATTAATTTGAAATTTTAAAATAAAATATATTGAAAAAAATTGTCATCTCTTTGTCTTAATTTATGACTAGAAAGGTTAAACTCTTTTCCCAATTTTTAATAGCCATTTATATATTTTCTTTTATACATGGTCAGTTTAAGCCCTTTATCTAGTTTATGTGAAATCATGATATTTCTGAATTGTTTAATTATTTTATACATTCAGAATATCAAAATTTATTTATCTTGCTCCAAGTATTTTCAGATTATCTCTATGCCTTTCAATTATATTTTTAAACACAAAATCAAGTTTTTAATAAAATGTATTAGCCCGCTTATTTTGTGATTTATTCTGCTGTCTTTATGCGTGAAAAGTTCTCTAGATCCTAACATTAGCTCAACGTAAACCTCTGTTTCAAAACAGCTATATTCATAGCTCTACTATAGATCTCATTATAGTATTTGCATAATAATTATTCATTTACACCCCCGTTCTACTTATTCTGGACTCTGAGTATCTCAGTCACTGGGGCAGTATTTTTCATCCTCTTCTCTTTAGCCTTTAGTGTGGGAAACTATAAATGTTGGTTGAAAGACATACTAAATGAATGAATCAACTGTGTAATGCACAGATTTTTTTCAGTGAAAATCAAAGAAATGTACCACTTTACTTCTCTTATTCCTTTTTTTCTTGCCAAACTATTGTATGAATAGTATAGTTAGAAAAATGTATTCCACAGGAATAACGATATTTTATCATATACTTGTTTGTTTAAAGTACACAATTAATATACAATCATGCCTCAGAACAACATGTGGGGTGTCCATACAACCGTGGTGCAACTAATCCTTCAAAAGATAATTTTGAATTTTTAGCATTCTCTGAAGAAATATTTTGCATGTATCAATTCTCATCCAGGAGAAATCAATGGCAGGATTTCTCACAATAATCATAAGGAGAAAAATATTTCTCTTATGATTAGTGTGATTTTTCAGAGAAAAAATATCTGAGTCATTTTTGTGGGACTCTGCTTCTTTTTAAATCACATTGATCATGTCAAGAATGAATCTACCAAATAAGACAAACAAAGCCAAGCACACTGAGTAAAGTAGAGAACCAATACATGGGCTTTGTATTTTACTTCAAGGTCTTGTCTATATGGCATACAAAGACACACAGTGGAACAACCATCAGCTTTTCTATATAGGTGGACCTGATGTTAGGCAAGTAAAATTCACTTTATCTGCTGATATCACCACATGACGCTGTTTTGTTCTTGTGGTCGGATATTTTGTTGAGTTCATTATACTCTCCTATGATGTGCCCTCTGTTTCACTTTGTAAAAAAGTTATATCTCTATTTTTTTTTGTTATGTCATGGACTTTATTTTTGAGTAGTTTAGGTTTACAGAAAATTGAGTACAGAGAACAGAGAATTCCCGTATGTCCCCTCATCCCACCCCAAAGTCCCCTGTATTATTAACATCTTATATTGATGTGGTACATTGTTTCAGTTGTTGAGCCAATATTGATACATTAATAGTAATTAAAGTCCAGAGCTTGCATTGGGGTTCACTCTTGGTGCTACATACACTGTATAGGCTGTGATAAATGTATAACAATATGTATCCACCATTAAGGTATCTTACAAAATATTTTCACTGTCCTAAAAATCTGTGCTCTTCCTCTTCATCATCCCTGCTTTCCCTTCAACCCTTCATCTTTTTCCTGTCTCTGTGGTTTTGCCTTTTCCACAATGTCATAGAGTTGGAATCATATGATAACTGGCCTTCTAAGACTGGTTTCTTTCATTTGTACGATGCATTTAAAGTCCTTCCATGTCTTTTTGTGGCTTGATAGCTCATCCCATTCTATCATTGAAAAACATTCTGATATGGTTTGGCTGTGTCCCTGCCCAAATCTCATCTGAATTGTAGTTCCCGTAATCCCCATGTGTTGTGGGAGGGACCTGGTGGGAGGTAATTGAATCATGGGGGTGGTTACCCCCACGTTGTTCTCATGATAGTGAGTGAGTTCTCAGGAGATCTGACGGTTTTATAAGGGGCTTCTCCCGCTTTGTTCTGCCCTTCTCCGTGCTACCACCATGTGAACAAGGACATGTTTGCTTCCCCTTCTGCCATGATTGTAAGTTTCCTGAGACCTCCCCAACCATGCTGAACTGAGTCAATTAAACCTGTTTCTTTTATAAATTACCCAGTCTTGGGTATGTCTTTATTAGCAGCATGAGAATGAACTAATACACCTTCCATTGTATGAATATACCATAGTTATTTTTTGAAGGACATCTTGATTGTTTCCATGGTTTGGCAATTATGAATAAAGTTGCCATAAACATTTGTAGGTTTTTGTGTGAACAGAACTTTCCTATTCATTTGGGTAAATACGAAGGAGTGGGAATGCTATATTGTATAGTAACAATTCATTTAGTTTTATAGGAAACTCCCAAATTGTCTTTCAAAGTAGCTGTACCATTTTGCATTTCCACCAGCAGAGAATGAGAGTTCCTGATGTTCCACATCCTCACCAGCATTGGATGTTGCTAGTGTTTTGGATTTTAGTCATGCTAATAGGTGTGCAGTGGTATGCAATTGTTGTTTTAATTTAGCCCTAATGACGTGATGTTGAGCATCTTTTTGCCCTCTGTGTATGTTTTTTGGTGCAGTGTCTGTTCAGATCCTTTGTCCATTTTTAATTGGCTGTTTTATTACTATTGTTGAGTTTTAAGAGTTATTTGTATATTTTGAATACCAGTCCAAAATATCAGTTGTTTTGCTAATATTGTCCCAGTCTGTGGCTTGAATTCTCATAACATCTTTTATAGAGTAAAAGATTTTAATTTTAATGAAGTCTAATTCATTAGTCTTTATAATATGGATATATGATTTTTTTCTTTTTAGCCTGTAGAAGTAATCAATTATATCAATTGATTTTCAAATGTTGAACCAGTCTTGAATACCTGGAATAATTCCCACTTCACTGTGGTGTAAAATTCTTCTTGTACAACGCTGGACATGATATCCTAATATTTTGTTGAGGATTTTTGCATCTTTGTTCATGAGAGACATTGGTGTGTAGTTTTCCTTCCTTGCAATGACTTTGTTTGCTTTGGGTATTGGGGTAATGCTAGCCTCATAGAATGAGTTAGGAGGTAGCCACTCTGCTATTTTCTGGAAAAGATTGTAAAGAATTGATATAATTTGTCCCTCTTTGCTAGAATTCATCAGTGAACCCATCTGGGCTGGTGCTTCCTGTCTTAGAAGGTTATTAATTATTGATTCAATTTCTTCATTTAATTTACTGTTTTTTAAATTTTTGAGACAGGGTCTTGCTGTGTTGCCCAGACTGGTCTTGAACAACTGGGCTCAACTGATCCTCCTGTCTCGGCCTCCCAAAGTGCTGGGATTACAGGCATGAGCCATCACTCCTGGCCTAATTTCTTTAATTGAATAGGTTAATCTTTAATAATAGATGTTAAGATGTAGGCCTTCTCATTAATATATATAGGCCCATATATATTATCTATTTTCTTGGTAAGTTTTAGTACATTGTGTTTTTCTTTCTTTCTTTCCTGTTTTTTTTTTTTTTTTTTCTTTTGGTCCATTTCATCTAGGCCTTCAAATTTCTGGGCATAGAGTTGTTTAGAATATTTCATTATTATGCTTTTAGTGTCACAGAATCAGTAGATATAGACCCTTTTATATTTCTGATATTAGTAATTTGTGTCTTCTCCCTTTATTCCTTAGTTAACCTGGCTAGAGGATTATTGACTTTACTGGTTTTTTCCAAAAAAAGTTTTGATTTTATTGATTTTCTCTATATTCTCTTGCCATTCTCATTGATACCTGCTTTAATTTTTATCATTTCTTCTCTTCTACTTACTTTGGATTTAACTTGTTCTCCTATTCCTAGTTTCCAAATGTGGAAGTTTAGATTACTAATTTTAGATCTTTCTTTCTTCTAGTACATGTACTCAATGCTATAAATTTCTCTCTAAGCACTGCTTTCACTGGATCCTAAAAATTTTGATAAAGCATATTTTTATTTTAAGCTAGTTTGAAATATTTTTATATTTCTCTTGAGACTGCTTCTATGACCCATGTGTTATTTAGAAGTGTGTTGTTTAATCTACTAGTATTTTGAGATATTCTAGCTGTTCTGATTTCTAGTTTTATATCATTTTGGTCTGAGAACATACTTTGTGTGATTTCTATTCTAAATTTGTTAAGGTGTGTTTTTTGACACAGAGTGCAATCTCTTCTAGTGAGTGCTCCATGGAAGCTTGAGAAGAACGTGTATTCTGCTGCTGTTGTATTAAGTATTCTATAGATGTCAGTTAGATCCAGTTGATTGACGGTGAACTTCAGTTAAACCTTGTTCTTAGTTCCTTACTGATTTTCTGCCTGCTTGAACTGTAAATTACTGATAGAGGGGTATTACAGTCTCAAAATAAAATAGCGTATTTATCCATTTCTCCTTGTACTTCTTTCAGTGTTTGCCTCATACTTTGATGTTCTGTTGTTAAATGCATAGACATCAAATATTATTATGTCTTTATGAAGAATTGATCTTTTTATCATTATGTAATATTCCTCTTTATCTCTGATAATTTTCCTTGCTCTGATGTTGGCTTTGTCTGAAATTAATCTAGCTACTCCAGCTTTCTTTTGATCACTGTTAACATTTAACTTCATATTTTAATGGATTTGTACACACACAGGCACACACACGCTTGCTTCGCCAGGCTATTCTATACAAATTTATTTGAAGAAAAATAGATACGTAGGGACATTTATGGGACTACAGGCAAGATAGAAGAAAGACAAGAGACCTTCCAAATGAATAACAAATCCTCTTTCACTCTCTATGCCTTCCTCTAACAAACTGACCTTGTATCAGGGTTTAACTATTACCTTTAGCTTAATGAGTTTCAGAATCAATTCTATATCCCAAAACATCCCTCAAATTTTGGTCTCATGTCTACAACTATTGACAAGATCTCGCTCCATCTGAATGTCATGTCATCACACTCAGCATGCCCTAAAACAAACTCACTGTTCCAAATCTGCTACGAACCCTTAGCAAAATCCTTTGTAAATTTCATATGTCCACCATTTTCTCAACTACTCAGACTCAATATTTTGCATTAAGTTGTATGCTACAAAATGTTAGGTTTAGGATAGGGAATTGAAGACAGACTTTCTGCTCTTCAAGAGATCATGGTCTGACAGATGTTAAAACAAGTGATCTGGTCAGGGTCAACGAAAATGCTACAAAATGCTGATTATATATTGGTTTTAAAAAGCATAAATAAATCAACTATTCTCACTACTTTGTGATTAGGATTTGCTTAAATTGAAGTCAGGAAGAATTCAATGATTATTGTTTCTATATTGAACATTCTGATGAAGTACATTTCCATTTCTCTGCTTAAGCATTTTTATCCGTGACGTCTTTGTTGAATGCTTGGCATGCATTCAACCCTAAACTAATAGACTGGGGAAGCAAAGAAGGTGATCTAATTCTTATTGCTTCAGTGCTGGAAAGAACTCTAAAATTATGAATCTCATTTTCTATCCAGTGATTGCCTTTTCTCCATTCTGTTTCTGGCTCATGACTTCTAATCTACTTGAATTTATCATTTGCATCATTAGAAGTTGGCAATGACCTTTAGATAGCTTTGAGTATTAGGAAGCTTTTATATTGATATTTTATTTTCCAGTCATTTTCATAGTAGTCATACAGAACCCAATGTGTGGTAAACCAATAAACTTTATTCCAACTCTGTTTAATAACATTTCAAAATAGGAAGACACTTTCCATGGGAATTCTCATTCCTAGGGTCACTAATCTTATTAATAATTTCACAATTTTTTTTTGTTCTTGCTTTTTTTTAGTTTGCCTCCTTACCGTCCATCCATTCACCTCTTAACTCCAGCTCATCCACATTCTTTTTAAAGTATGGTGCAGAGGATTGGGCACAAAATGCTAAAATTGAGTTTCTTCAGCACTTTGACAAGTAGAAGTTTCACTGCAATTTAGCTAGATGTTAAAATCCTGTTAATACAAGCTACTAACGCATTATTCTTTGTGTGTGTATATGTGTGGGGCTTCATTAAATTATTGAAACATTAAATACACAAGTCAACCCAAATACTATATTATCTTTGTCATCCTACAATTTGGTGTATTTCTCCCACTATATTCTTCAGTAGTTAGTTTCTGGCAATTCTGTCTGGAGTCCTTAGTAAGTTAAGAGTCCTTTTTAGTGTTATGACCTTAATTTTTTTTTCTGGAGTAAATGTTGACATACTTAGGAGGCTAACTTTATTTTATAGAGATATTAAGTACTAGAATGATTATTCTGTGTCAATCCGACCTAAAAGTGACCTCATGGTTTTTTGAAAGGTAAAAAATCATATTATGTATATTTTCTACACTCTAGGTAAAATGCACATAATATATCATATTTTACATTAAATTGACTTTAAGTATATTTTAAAGATTCTGAACTGTTATTTCAAATTTCCCTTTCCTCACTACATTTCTGGCTAATGGCTTCCAATCCATTCTTGAGGTTGGAATAATAAATGCTCGTGTCAAATCGGATCAAATAAAAGTATTCAAAAGGCAAGGTAGCATATCACCTTTACTTGAATTAAAAGCTTTAGAAGGATCAGGTGTTACCTGGTTTTTTTTTATTGAAAGGTGTAATAGCAGAACTGTGAAAGGGAAAACAAAATGAAAAACATTCAACAAAAATGCTGTTAGGATAACTCCATTTCTGGCTTTTGAAAATAAAGATACTTTATATATTTATGAAGGCAAATCGATTCAGGAAAATATAATGACATAACTTAAAAGTCTTTCAGTTAGATCGTGTCACAGATCTGTGATATTTAAGCTTTTTATTCTAATGGGAATATCAATCTCAAGACTTTTAAAATTGATAGTGATTGCTTCATAGTTTTTCAATTAACCTTCTGAAAAACCATAACAAAAATAAGACCCTACTTTCTTATCTCTTTTTTTTTACGAATAATTTCTGTAAACTAAATATGTGTGTGTGTGTGTGTGTGTGTGTGTGTGTTTGTGTGTGTATTTTAGAGACAGGGTTTCACTCTGCTACCTAGGCTGGAGTGCAGTGGCATGATATAGCTCACTGCAACCTCGAACTCCTGGCCGCAAGGAATCCTCTTAGCCTCAGCCTCCTGAGTAGCTAGGATTATAGGCATGCACCATCATACCTGGCTAATGTTTTGTAGAGATGGAATCTCACTATGTCGCCCAGGCTTAAATATAGTTTATATATTTTAAAAATTTTAGGCCGGGCACGGTGGCTCATGCCTATAATCCCAGCACTTTGGGAGGCTGAGGCGGGAGGATCACTTGAGGCCTGGAGTTTGAGACCAGCCTGGCCAACATGGTGAAACCCCGTCTCTACTAAAAATACAAAAAATTAGCTGGGCGTGGTGGCATGCGCCTGTAATTCCAGCCATTCAGGAGGCTGAGGCAGGAGAATTGCTTGAACCGGGGAGGTGGAGGTTGCAGTGAGGTAAGATCGCACCACTGCACTCCAGCCTGGGCGACAACGTGAGATTCTGTTTTAAAAAACATAAATAAATAAAAATAAAAATGTAGATCCTTTTTGAAATAATAACGTATGTAGGTTGTTACACAATATTATCATATCTAAATATTGAAGATAGGACTTATCAGGCAGCCCTGTTGGCAATAGCCCTCTAGGGTGTATATTGTATAAACATCCCTGGCAGGGGTATTCTACACATGTTAGTTGGATTCCCCTAGGTCAGGGGTGTGTGGTCTATAATATATGAAAAATGCCCTGAACTCTGGACTTTTAAAAACAGCAAAAGGATATGTGAAAACCGTTTTAAAATACCATTTTAAAATACAACAAGACACCTATAAATACAGCTATTTTTTCAAAAGCAAAAGGACATATGAAAACCATGAGTAAAATATAATAAGACACCTATAAATACAGCTATATCCTCTGCGGACTATTGCATTCTATTTATTCTTTCTTTTTGCAGGATAGATACATAAAGTCAGGATCTCATTCTTGCTGGAGCTACTTACCTGCCTGGACCCACACCACCCCCTAGTTCCAGGCCTGGCTCTCCCACCGCTAGCTCTGAACCTGAGTACGTCCTATAAACAACATGAGCATCTGTATCTCCCTTCAGAAAACAAATGGTGCAGTCATACTCATCCTGCTGTGTTAATGACTATGTTCATAAAATGCGACACTGGACTACGAGTTTTAGGAATCAAGGAGTGTGTTTTAGTCCACTCTTTATGACTGGCCTTAGTATAATATCTGGCACATACTGATATAGAATAAAAGGTATCATTACATGATACCTTTCTATATTATATCCACATGTATCCCATGATCCATGTTCCATATTATGGAAGGGTGGCAACGCCCTGTTTCACGAGTTTCAGATTCAACTTTTGAAGGAAACATGTTTTAGTCATTGCATTGGCAGATGGCTCCAGGACTTACATATTTAAATAACAAAAATGTTGGGGATAAAAGTATTCCCCAAACAGTTCAAAAAGTTTCATAGGTGGGTAAAGGAACCATCCCTTTGAAGAGGAAAGTCAACAGTCTGACTTATTTCAGGTAAACAGGTTGATAAAGACAAAGAAAGGCTGCTTTGTTCTAAGTCTTGCGTTCCTGCACCTAGAGGACAGATCCCACATTCCAGAATAAAGGCTTAAATAAAAATGCAAGCATACAGGAAATAAAAGAGTTCAAAAATAAAGGGTACTAAGAGAGAGGGGTCATAGATTAGCATTAACACCATGGTGACCACATCAGCCTTAAGTCAAGGTCAGACTATTTCATGCAAGTTATCCCTAAATGGAAGAGTGGAATGATAAGGCTGGAGGAAAAAAGAGATGGCTATGGGAGTGGTCTTCAGAGTTATTCTGGTTGGGACCTCAGAACTGAAGACAAAGGTTGTGATGCTCCTTGATTGTCCTCTGTGAGATTCATAGATGTCATTAAAACCATGAAGTACAGGAGCTGCATTTGCATTATCTGTTTCCATATTCCATTTTTTTTTTGCTTTTTCCTTTTTTTTTGCTACTCTCTGTTTCTTTTCACGAAGAAAGCTGAAAATTTATTGTCTTTCACCTGTCAAGTGAGATGCTAAAGTGATCTGCTAGCTGCTTTTACCCATATAATCTCATTTAATGTTCAACTAACACTGCAAGGTAGGTAGATATATTTCCATTTTATAAGTAAGACTGCTGAATCTTAGAAAGGGCAAATCACTGTGCAAGGTGGGCCTCGTAAATAATGGACTCATGTCTATCTGATTCCAAAGCCCACCTGCTTCCCACTCTGCCCCAGGTCTCCCTATTCCCTTTTTTACTGGTTGTTGGCTGACATAATAAAAACTGGAAGTGTACACAATAGGACAGTCTCTTAGATATGGACATCTTCTGGTGAGGGGCGGTATGCAATATCAGGCCCCAGGCCATACCAGATTAAGCCTCTGGACAGTTTGAGATACTCTCTGGTATTTTCCTACACGTGGTCTGGGATTCTACGTTGCTCAGGAGGCAATAATTTGGTGTTAACATGGAAGACCTAGCTTCCTAGCTTCACAGATCCTGTCTAGAAGACACTTAAATTTTACAGTGAATACTACAAGGTACAAAGAGTCTTTCATTACAGCCACAGTCAGGACAGACTATGAAGAAGAAACTGAGCTATAGAAATACCTATTCACTTTAACTCTGGGATATAGGATTTAGGGTCTAAATATATTAGGATTGATTATGACAACTGCAGAATTCATTTCTAGGGACAAATGTAAAAGTGTAGACATTCTTAGAAATTATCACAATATTGCTGTTTTCCCCTATGCCACTTTTTCTTGAGGGGGCCTAGTTACCTTAGAAAGTTCTTGTCATTGCTTAGCTAACACTACAGCCAGCAAATAGAGATAGAGCTTATGTGTTTGGCTGAGAAAATAACATAGGAGCTCTCTTAGGAGAACCTTTCTGTTAATGTCCCTGTCATCATCATCTTTGTCTATTAACTCACAGTAAGGACCCAAAAGACTAAAAACAAGATAAACACCAGTACCTGTATGGCAGACACAGCCTTTGGACAAGTGTCAGCATTTCGCAAGTGCCTGAGATCACTTCAAAATGTTTAAATTTTTAAAATGCCAAGAGGGATTACCTCTAAAGTAATACAGGAAGTTATAATGTTAAGAAAAAGAAATGGTTGAAGGTAGGATTGGTTTTAGGCGAACGCCATTCTCAGAGGCTCATGACAACCCGAAGCTCTATTTTCCTCTAGAAAATAAGGGATGATGGCCGGGCGCGGTTGCTCACGCCTGTAATCCCAGCACTTTGGGAGGCTGAGGCGCGTGGATCACGAGGTCAGGAGATCGAGATCATCCTTGCTAACACGGTGAAACCCCGTCTCTACTAAAAATACAAAAAATTAGCCAGGCATGGCGGTGGGCACCTGTAGTCCCAGCTACTCAGGAGGCTGAGGCAGGAGAATGGCCTGAACCCGGGAGGCGGAGCTTGCAGTGAGCTGAGATTGAGCCACTGCACTCCAGCCTGGGCAACAGAGCGAGACTCCGTCTCAAAAAAAAAAAAAAAAAGTTCAACAAGGGAGATGGAGCCAGTGGCTTCTGGGTGGTTTCTGCCTCCAGATCCTCCTTGGGATGACTTTCTAGTTGGAAGCCTAGTGAAGGATGTGGTGGAGGCCTCTTGGATAACACTCATATGTGCTCCTTGCTGGTGGGAGACACGAAAGACTAGCGCCCGACTTGCACTGGATAGAGGGAAAGACAACTTTGATCAGATTCTGCCTCCAACAGAGGCACACAAAGGGCTAAGGCAATGGAGCAGGGGAGTGTTTGAGGTGGGATCATGTGTCATCTCTGTGAGCATGAGAGTCTCAGAGCATGAAATAGACGTGGGCAGTGCAGGGGAGCTGGCATGGTGTGAGTCCTTTTGGGTTGCCAGGAGGATCCAGGTCATGGAAGCTAAACGAGGCTAGAGATGAGCCACCAGATGTCCAGGGGACAAAGTGGATAAGCACAGGAACATAACACATTGACTGGTTTCTAGAGGTTGCTTAAAACAAACAAAAAAAATAAAAATCCTACTTAATGTCCTTGCAATAGCTATGCACCTGACCTCATAATCCTTTTTCTTCATGAACAATAAAACTCACACTGAATTTTCAGTAGCAAAGCCAGTTAATTCTCAGTTGATTCTCTTTGAATCTTTCCAGAATTCAAAAGAGAGAACAAATTCAATATAGCATTTAACAATTACATTGCTATCTGAAGCTGAAATATGTACATATATAAACAAACCTTTGGAGACTTTCTATTTTGGTCTGACTCTGAAGGTAGTTGGGAGAAAATTGTAAGGTATTCTTATCAATCTTGATTTGTCTTTCATGCTATGAACCTATTATTTATTCTAATAATACTTATATAAATATTATTCTCTACTGCCTTGTCTGTATTTAAATAAATCTACAGAAGAAAATGATACAGCATCAAAATAGAAGGAAATATACGAGGTTGTCTTATAGTTGCTGGTAACCACTGTTTAATTTCATCCATAAAGTTTTCTGGTATTAATTAAGGATATTCATTAATATTACTCTGAGGCACGTAGTTTAACATTAATAAGGAAGAAAGCCAGCTAAGTTATTAGAGATCCAATGTTATGTCATTAAAAGTGTGAGCTGATTTGAATTTGAGCCACAGGAAATGAAAGTCTGTGAAAGTCAACAACCAAAGCAGGCTACTAATAGGTTTTAAGAAAGAAAATCAGGCTGGGCACGGTGGCTCATGCCTGCAATCCCAGAACTTTGGGAGGCTGAGGCAGACAGACTGCTTGAGCTCCGGAGTTCAAGACCAGCCTGGGCACCATGGCAAAACTCCATCTCTATCAAAAATACAAAAAATTAGCCAGGCTTGGTGGCACATGCCTGTTGTCCCAGATACTTGGGAGGCTGAGGTGGGAGGACGGCTTGAACTGGGAGGCAGAGGTTACAGTGAGCCAAGATCATGCCACTGTACTCCAGCCTGGGCCACAGAGCCAGATCCCATAAAAAAAGAGAGAGAGAGAAAGAAAGAAAAGAAAAGAAGAGAAAAGAAAGAAAGAAAGAAAGAAAAGAAGAGAAAAGAAAGAAAGAAAAAGAAAGAAAAGAAAAAGAAAGAAAAGAAAAGGAAAGAAAGAAAGAAAGAAAGAAAGAAAGAAAGAAAGAAAGGACGGAGGGAGGGAAGGACGAAGGAAGGAAGGAAGGAACGAAGGAACGAAGGGAGGGAAGGAAAATCAGGGCAGGAATAACACTTGTACTATGAAGCCAGAAAAATGTAAACAATAAAACATGAAAAACTGTTTTGTTGCAGTAGTTTTTCTTTCAAATGTATACAGAAGCATCAGATACCTTCAAATAGCAAGAGAGTAAGCAAGCGATATCATGGTGGGAAAATGCATGGTTTTATAAATTAAATACGATGCTATTGAGGTCTAGTCATCCTACACAAAAGTGGTGATCTTTTCTTAATGAATTCACCAAGATACCATGGAGCGTGCATGGGGTCACTACAGTCTTTCACTTACTTTGGCAGGGCACCCCTCACTTCCCACAGACGGAGAAGATGGATTCAAGACGAGAGTGCGACGCTTGCTTACCACGGGCCTGTGCACGTCCCAGAACGCTCTCTCTTGGCTGTCAAGGATCTTCCTTTCAATCTTGTCTCTCTTCTTGTCCACTCTGTCAACACAGTAACAATAGATAACATTTAGTATTAATTGTAGTGCCTCTCTGAACAAAAAGGCCACAACTGGAACAAATCTTCCAAACGACTCACAAGGACTCACTTTGCTTGTGCTTCTGCTTGCATGAAAATGAACTCCCACTTCCGGGCAAATGCTCTCTGCAGCCTGGCCAGGCTCTCCTGAAAAACATACCCCAGGTGAAGACATTTGGTGTTCATTGTCACTGCTCTCTTCTAGCTTAGTTACCACTTGTATTTGTCAAGGAAACAAATAGAGAGTTTCTAAAGCCCTAAGTGTACTGTGGTTCTCAATGATAAGTCATGCTCCCTGAATTCAGCTCATCTTCATATTGGCAGTCTTAAAGGAAGCAGAAAAACCTGTTACAAATATCGATTTTTTGAATTACTGACTTTGGAGAACAGGACTACAAACCCAATATGTATCTGAAAAATACTAAAATTACCTAGTACATAAGGAGGTGCTCAGATGAACCCACTGGATTTTTCGGTACCCACTTTATAGAGGAACAGAACATCAGTACATTCCTACTACGCATGCAATCAGCCTATTCAGTTCCTGACAATACATGGCACACCCTGGCGGCCCACAACCTATTCCTACACAGTGCTTTGAATTCAGAAAATCTAACATAGCAACCATCTGCACAAATGACAGCAGATGACTTTTATCTGCTGAAGATCACTGTCAGCAGAGACAATTTTGGCAAAACCCACTCTTTCCCAGGGTAAATGGTCTTTAATCCTCAGAGTTTGGATATCTTCACTATGTAGGATGTATCTGACATTTCGACAGTTAAGTCGATTTTAGAAAATAAGATATGCTTCCCTTTTATACTTTGAGTTTATGTATTTAGAGTTTTGCCATATGCAATGTGAATGAAGAGAGGAAGTAAGCAAACAGGGATTCATGCACCCACTGTGATGCCAGATCCCTAGAAATCTGACCCTTCAGATCCATGAATGAGGCTGGGCGTGGTGGCTCGTGCCTGTAATCCCAACACTTTAGGAGGCTGAGGCGGGTAGATCACCTGAGGTCAGGAGTTCAAGACCAGCCTGGCCAACATGACGAAACCCAGTCTCTACTAAAAATACAAAAATTATCTGGGCGTGGTGGTGCACGCCTATAATCCCAGCTACTCCAGAGGCTGAAGCAGGAGAATCACTTGAACCTGGGAGGCAGAGGTTGCAGTGAGCCAAGATCGTGCCACTGCACTCTAGCCTGGGTGACAAGAGTGAAACTCCATCTCAAAAAAAAGAAAAAGATCCATGAATGAAGAGTTAACATCCTGCCCAGAAAAGGCTGTGGGCCTTACTGCTGTGCATTCTATGACTATCTTTGCCAGAAGGTCCTTGGTACTTACAGCCTCATAGTCTGCGAGCTCCAGTCGTGCCTTGTTTTGCATTGTTCTCTTGCAGAGGTAAACGGCTGAAAAAAAAATCAATCATTTCTTGCCTGCTTATCAACACCATGGCACTATAAGTAAAAGTACAACATTACAAATCAAGGGCATTGCACTTTTTTCCCAAGTTGTAATTTTTGATCATTTTCTTAGACAAAAAATAATTATGTAATAACATTATTACTGAAATTCAAGCATCATAGTATTTATGATACCCTAATAAAATAAATATGCTAAGAAACTTGGTAACTTTTTTTTTTCAGAGATGGTCTTACTCTGTCACCCTGGCTGAAGCAAGTGTAGTGGTAAGATCCTTGTTCACTGCAGCCACACACTCCTAGGCTCAATTGATCCTTTCGCCTCAGCCTCCCGAGTAGCTGGGACTATAGGCGTGAGCCACCAAGCCTAGCTAATTTTATCGTTATTATTATTATTTGTAGAGCAGCTTCTCGCTTTGTTGCCCAGGCTGGTCTTGAACTCCTGGGCTCAAGTGATCCTTCCACCTCGGCCTCTCAAAGTGCTGAGATTATAGGCATGAGACATAATCATTTAAAAATTTTTATTAAATGGTCATCACAGTTTTTAGCATCTTCAACAAATAAGAGGAGAAAACAAAACCTCCTAAAAGGGTCACCAAATGAACTTAAAAATCTATATATCCAAATAAAATCATTTTGTGAAAAGGAAATTATGAATTAGTGGCACATTCAACGATGTCCAGATTCTACTGTCAACTGAAACAATCTGTTCATGTACACTGAAGACTTCTTGCATCTTCTTGGCTTCATTTCACAAGAGCCAATCTTCCATCGTTTTGTCACTAGGAGAAGGGTATCACATCTTACCTACCTTCCACAGTATTTCCATTTTCCTGAGGAGTCGATGGCCTGGGCTACCATGGAAAGTCCATCTGGGCAGCAGATTTATAGGAGAAGGTGGTGACAGCAGTGTTGCAATTGAGCAAATTTCTTCAATTATTTCAGGGTATTCCAGTGACTCTCATGACAAACTCAAGGCATTCACAGCCCTCTGGTAGAGTCCCAATTGCCAGAACATTTTTGTCATTGTTTTTCACTAAATATGCATGATATTTGAGTCTCATGAAACTCAAGATACATTGTATCTGTTCTAGATGCTGAGTAAATGCATTGGATGAGGACTGTCAAATATTACTTATTGTAAGTCTACCTCTGTGAGTTTGCCTTGGAAATATCACCTTTGCACTACACTTACCACCCCAAGTTTTGGATAACGACGTCCAGCTGGTATCACTAAGGAAACACACTACACAGAAAATTTAAGACCGGTGCAAACAGGAATACTATTTACTCAATTTCTGTAAGGTTTCCTGTATGAAAGTCAAGACGAAGGAGAGAGCCAACCACAGAATGATGCTGACATTCCTACAAATGCTAAGAACCCAGTATATAGTATTAGAACACATCTTTGTACAATCTACCATAATAATTTTATTGTTCTACTAATATTAGTAATTTTTAAAAGTCAGACTTCATAAACAAAAGTGACATGATGTGTTCATTTCCTAATTCATCATAACTGATGCTCACTCCCGAAGGATCTCTTACTATAGACGCCACTGTGACTTGAATAAAATATCTAAAATGTTCTAAGCAGTTGTAAAAGAAATTGAAGCGTAAGTGAAATACCCCTGAGGGTGTCTCTTCATGAGAGAAAGATCAAATTTTCTTAAATATCTAATTGAATAATTTCAGCTTTCCTGTGGAATTACCTCTGATGAAATTTCAAGCCCCAGCTATGCCCTCCATCAGTCACACCTCCTGTGTCCTCCTGCATCAGCTTCTCCTTGCTTTATTGGTTTTGCCCATCTAATCTTTATTATTTGCAAAATCAGCTCCCTTTGGGGAAATGTTTCTCACCATTAGGTACCCTAATGCCTTAAAGCAAGAGTGGGATGATTTTATTTTTTACATGACTGCTCACAAAGACATTATGTATCTTGTAATACAGGTGTCCTATGATGTGATTTTTCTTTAATTCTCTAGGGAAAAAAATGAAGGTGCGGGCAGACAGTGCCAGGCATAAAATATTGGTATCACAAATATTTGTTGAATGAGTGAATTAACAAATGAATGAATAGGATATCTTCAGAAGGAGCTATTTCGAGGTCAAATCAACTTAAGTGATAAAATCTCCCTAAATGTCTACTTGATTCTTTGGTATAAAGAAAGACAGGAAGCAGGGCATGGTGGCTTATTTCTGTGGTCTTAGCTACACTTGGGAGGCTGAGGAAGGAGGATCATTTGAGACTAGTAGTTTGAGGCTGCAGTGAGCTATGATTGCACCACTGCACTCCAGACTGGGCAACAGAGCAAGACTCTGTCTCTTAAAAAAATAAAATAAAATAAGAAAGAAAGAGGCAAAAGGTACAAGTCTGAGTTAGCAGTGTACAGAATAATCTGGTAACTGTTGAAGATACAGCAAATATGCTCTTGACCGGATAGGCCCAGACCTCATCAGTCTAGTCCAGACACAGTTGCTGTATGATGACAGGTACAGATAATACTTTTTATTCTTTATTAGCAGAGAGTATCAGCATTGGTCAAGATGTGGATGAGGCAGAAGGTCCAAGTAGATCAAAGATGATTCCAATTCAGGAAATTTCCCAATTCATTGAAGACTGACAAAATGAATGCACTCATGCATAGTCAAAACTACAGCTCAGGCTGGGCACATTGGCTCATGCCTGTAATCCCAGCAGGTTGGGAGGCCGAGATGGGTGGATCACAAGGTCAGGAGTTCAAGACCAGTGTGGCCAAGATGCTGAAACCTCGTCTCTACTAAAAATACAAAAAAATTAGCCAAGCATGGTGGCAGGCGCCTGTAGTCCCAGCTACTGGGGAAGCTGAGTCAGGAGAATCACATGAACCCAGGAGACAGAGGTTGCAGTGAGCCAAGATCATGCCACTGCACTCCAGCCTGGGTGACAGAGCAAGACTCCGTCTAAAAAAAAACAAAAACAAAAACAAACAAACAAAAAACTTCAGCTAAGGCAAGGTGCTTTTGTGCCAATCCTAATTATTTTGGCACTGAACATGCTCTATATGGTGCTAGGTATAGACCTAGGCCCAGACCCAAAAGAGTGAATCTTTTATAACATAACCCCGAATATTTCCTGCTGTGATGAAATATTGAAAATATCAACTAATGATGCCATTTTTGGGGTTCTATTTAAAATATTTTCTATTATTAAAGATGTAATTTCAATACCAAGTTTAAATATATCTCCCTGCAGTAGTTTTCTGGGAGATCATCAGGAGACAATTTGGAAGACTTGGGAGGTCAAACAAGTAATTTAACAGGAGGCTATGCCACTAAGTGGGAGAAAGTTTGGGCAGGCCTGAAGTGCTACTCTGGCTAAGAAAGCTCCATAGATAAGGCATAGATTTTGGCCCAAATGCAACTTAGAACTTAGATGGAAAAGTCAAAGTTTCTGGATCCCATCTTTGAGTAGAAACAGAATAGAAAGTGAGTGCTGACGTCAGGTCTTCCCCTTTAATTTATAAAGCTCTAGAGAAGCTGGAGTGGTCTCTCAGACAACACTGATGCCCATGACAAAGGTATGAAAGCACATCACACAGGTCAGCGAGAAAATCACTAAGACCCCAGTATCAAAATGTGGAAAGAGTAGGAATATATCATTCACCAAGACTAGAACTACAAAAGTCCAATAAATATTTTAAAATTACCCAGCTTACAACCCAGGTAATGCAAATTAACTTACATTGTCATGCTATTCTTTTTTTTTTCTCTTTTAATGTTTAGTTTGTGGCTAATTCTTCTCTTGTTCCTGAATTTTAAACAGTCAGGCAGTTTGTACAATCTTCCTTCTCATGCTTGAGTAATTCAAAGAGTCCCAAGTTATTTGAGAGATGATTGGGTCATGAGGATGGAACCTTCCTTAATGAGATTAGTGCTTTTATTAATAGACTCGAAGGAGGTGGTTCACCCTTCTACCATGTGGGGACACAGCAAGACAGTGCCGACTATGAACCAGAAAGTGGGCCCTCCCCAGACATCAAATCAGTTGGCACTTTAATCCTGGACTTCTCAACCTCCAGCATTGTGAGAAATAAACGTTTGCTGTTTATAAACAAAACAAAACAAAAGGGTACCAAGTTATTAATGAGAATGTTCATCTCAAGTAATGATCAAATAATCATGCAAATTGTGGGTGAGAAGAAGTGTGAGTGGCTTCTTTCTCCCCTCCCCAACTCCCTTTTGTGACTCTCACCAAGAACCATGAACTGAGGCCTCTGATCCTCCTGGGGCTGGAGTGTAGGAGAGGAAAGGGGAAGACTGACATTTTTATTACATTTTTCATTGGAATAGAACTTTATTATATTTGATGGAGATTTTGAATTTTATTGCTGAGATAAAAAATTAAATCTGGTATGTAACAAAAATAAATATGTGCTTCACAGGAGCTTTCCTTTATTATTTTAACATTAAAAATTTTTAAAATATTTTAGTTGATAAATGAGAAATTGCATATATTTATATTGTGCTACGTGATGTTTTAATATAGGTTATACGCTTTGCTATGACTAAATCAAGCTAATTAACATTTCCGTCACTTCACATTCTTACCACTTTTTGTGATGAGAACTTTGAAAATCTACTCTCGGCCGGGTGCAGTGGATCATGCCTGTAATCTCAGCAGTTTGGGAGGCTGAGGTGGGCAGATCACTTGAGCTCAGGAGCTCGAGACCAACCTGGCCAATATGGTGAAACCCTATCTCTACTAAAAATACCAAAATTTAGCTGCGTGTTGTGGCGGGTGCCTGTAATCTCAGCTACTCGGGAGGCTGAGGCAGGAGAATTGCTTGAACCCGGGAGGCGGGGGTTGCAGTGAGCTGAGATCCCACCATTGCACTCCAGCCTGGGTGACAAGAGCGAAACTCCATCTCAAAACAAAAAACAAAAAACAAAAAACAAAAAACTACTCTCTTGGCAATTTTCAAGTATTAATGGTAACTATCATCATCCCGCTATACAACAGTCTTCCAGAACTTAGTCCTCTAACTGAAACTTTGCGCTCTTTAACCAATATCTGCCCCCACTGCCCCCAGGCCCTGGTAATCACCATTCTACTTTTTGCTTCTATGAGATAAACTTTTTTCAGATTCCACACGAGTGACATCACGCAGTATTTGTGTTTCAGTGCCTGACTTATTTCACTTAACATAATGTCCTCCAGGCGCATCATGTTGCTGCAAATACAAGATTTTTTGTATTTTTAAAGGCTGAATAGTATTTCATTGTGTATCTATCCCACATTTTCTTTACCCATTCGCCTGTTGCTGGACACTTAGGTTGATTCTGTATCTTGGCTATTGTGAATAATGTTGTAATGAACGTGGAAGTTCAGGTATCACTTCCAAATACTGATTTTATTTTCTTTGGGTAGATCCCCAGAATTGGAATTGCTGGATCCTATGGTAGTTCTAGGTTCATTATTTGAGGAACTTCTGTACAGTTTTCCATAATGGCCGTACTAATTTACATTCCCACCAGCAACAGTGTATCAGGGTTCTCTTTTCTCCACATTCTCCCCAACGCTTGTTACCTTTCATCTTTTCAATCAAAGCCATTCTTACAAGTGTGAGGCAATATCTCACTGTGGTTCTGATTTGCATTTCCCTGATGATTAGTGACGGGGACCACCTTTTCACATACCTGTTGGCCATTTGTAGGTCTTCTTTTGAAAAATGTCTATTTAGGTTTCTTGCTCATTATTTAATTGGCTTATTCGTCTTCCTGCTTCATTGATACCACCAGGGTGATCTAGCTTGCCACTCTCTAGACTTGGCAAAAGTTTAAAGCTCCTTATGATTTTTACGGTACCTTTAGCCTCTCTCTATGATGCTGTTTGCCCCTCCAGTCTGCCATGTAGGACAGGACTGTCTCACACAGGGTTTAGATGATGCCTAAGAGAAACATTCACACATTTTATTTTTTGCCTTAATAGAAGGCTGCAGAACAGAGCCACCTCCCTTTCAACTCTTCCACCCATAGCTAGACAGCCTGCCTCTTGCCCTTCAGAATCCCATGGCCTACAAGTCTGTGGCCTATTGTGTTCCCAGGGGTGCGTGACTCTCATCTAGCACTCTCAGCAGCCCCTTGAAGTCTCTTATCAGGAGTGAGATAAGGCGCGGTCACCCCTGGCTCCATCCACTCAGGGCTGGTGGAAGCAATGGCTCCCAACATCCTATGGATTCCAGACTCGGTCTTCAAGACAATGCCTTGCCCTTAGACCCTTGATGTGAGCAGAAAGCAATTACTGGGATCATGCATATGTTAGTGGAACACAGCCCCTTTACACCTGATCTTGACCCACTTAACACTTTGGCTGGGTTTCCATGTTAACATCCTGTTACAGAAACCATTTTCCACTCAGCAAAACAGCAGAGAGTTTAAAGGGGAATAATCCATTCTGGCAAAAGAAGAGTGAAAGAGAGCTGCTGGTGGGCAAATAAACAGGGGAAAGTCTCCTTGGAAAGGACGTGAGAGTGAGTAATAAAGCCTTAAAACATTCATGGCCATAGGCTGGGTGTAGTGGCTCACACCTGTAATCCTAGCATTTTGGGAGCTGAGGCAGGCAGATTGCTTGAGCTCAGGAGTTTAAGACCAGCCTGGATAACATGGTGAAACCCAATCTCTACTAAAATACAAAAAATTAGCTGGGCTTGGTGGTGCACACCTGTAATCCCAGCTCCTTGGGAGGCTGAAGCAGGAGAATTGCTTAAACCCAGGAGGCAGAGGTTGCAGTGAGCCGAGATCAGGCCACTGCACTCCAGCCTGGGCAACAGTTGAATGAGACTTTGTTTCCAAAAAACCCCCAAAAAATTCATGGCCATAATTCTAGGACTTGCTTTTCTAGGACTATTACCCAAGGGAATAACAGGAAAGCTAGAGGGCTAAGAATACACTATATTAAATATGGAAACACAAAGGAAATTGCAAGAAAATCATGAATATCTGTTCAACAAGATACTAGATCATCATTCAAAATGATGTGTACAAATTGTTCTACCTAAAAAGCTGAAATAACTTGATTTGTAAAACCCTTAATTCCTCCTCATTGTAAAAGTCCAGAAAAATATATAAAGTAAAAAATATACAGTAAATATATATGTCTAAAGTATTTATATATTTATATATGTAAAGTATTTATATAAATATATAAAGTAAAATATATACAGAAAAAATATATAAAGTAAAAAATCATTATAATACCATTTCTGTCATTATTTGGTATATAGTTTGATTTTCTTTTATATATACATCTGCTAATACACATATGAATATCTGTTTATATACAAAATCTATATGCATATATTTATTTTAAGTGTGCTCAAAACTGTACCACACATGCTGTATTATAAACTTTCTTCTTTAATAGTCTGTTGTGGCTAACTTTTCATATCAATAAGTGCTGGTCTATAATATTTTTTAAAAAATTATTTCATGGTAATCCAGTGCTGAGATGTAATGTAATTTATTTTAATGAGTTCTTATTATTGGACATTTGGGTGATAGCTATTATTTTGCTATTATATGCTAACAGTTGTGTGAACATACACGCATGTATATATATGTGTCTTTATGTATGCATCTTTATTTGTTTTTGAAATTGCCAGTTTCCTGAAAGGGTTATTGCTGAGTCAGGGCCCATGCACCTTTCAAGACCTGTGATCTTTATAACCAAATTTCAGAAAGTTTAGACATGAGCATATATCAGATGCTTTTCAACTCTGGAGAGTCTATTTTCAGCAAAGCCATCAGAGTTATTCTGTTAAGACATAAGTCAGATAGTCAGTGTACTCAAAACCCTCCCTTTTATCTACTACTTCCCATCTCATCTCTCTCTAGGAAAAGCCACAGTCCTTACTGCCCCATTAAGTGACCCTCTGGATTTATCTCCCATTCACCTTCCACCCTGCCTGAGCCTCACACCAGATGTCCCCTATGTCTTCTCTCCTTTCCGTCTCTGGAGAGCCCTACCCCAGAGCTGAACTGAATTCTCTCCAGAATATCTTCCCCCTTCTCCACCAAGCCCCTTTCCCAGTTTTTCTCCACACAACTTTTCATGTCCTAATGTACAACTTATGCATTCATTTATGTAGTTAACTTCTTAGTTTTTCTCCCCCTATTCTTCTTCCCTCCACCGACCCACCAGAATGTCACCTCCACCAGGACAGAGGTTTGCCTATTCTGTTCACCAATCAATCCGCATGGCTAGAAGAGTACCTGGCACATAGTAGATGCTCAAAACATAGTTGGGGAGTGAAAACATTTGCCTAGTGTTCATTCGAGGTTTTGTGTTTTCTTTTCTTTCTTTTCTTTTTTCTTTCTTTTTTTTTTTTTTTTGCTTTGATGAATTAACTAATTAACTATAATTTGCTGATTTTTCTATTGGGTATTTAACATTTTTAAATTAGACTTAAGGCCCATTAATACATTAGAGATAAAAACTAATGTTAGGTATATATGAGGAAATATGTTTTTTCCCCAGGTTTTGGGGGAAAAGTTTACTAAACAATGCAGAAAATATTCAGCATACTTAAGAGAATACTGATTTGGTGTATACACACACACACACAGAGGATCAACAGTACATGGTCTGCAATCTGCTTTTTTTCACTTAAAATAACATTACTGAGATTTACCCAGGCTGTTTTCAATAGATGTAGCTTATTTCCCTTAACTGCTGTAGTCTATCCTATGAATGTAGCTCACATTGATTAGTCATATCCCTATTACTAAATACACAAGTTTTTTTTCTTTTTATTTTTTCCTTTTTCTATTACAAAGAACAATCCAGTGAAAGTTTCTCTAAGCATATATTCCTAGAAATGGTATCAAAGGGTTGTGGCGATAGGCACAGTTTGAATTTTATGACACTGCCAAAATTGTCCCATAATACTTGTCCAGTAATGTACAAATATTCCTACCTTCATTCCAGACTTGAATTTTTGCCAATCCGGCTTGAGAGAGGTGCATTAAAGTCTAACCCTTTCAGTAGATTTCTGTGTCTGTTTTCTTGTATCTCCAACAGTTTTCATATCACAGATTTTAATTTCAAAAATGTCTACGAATCGATTGTCCCCTTCACTAATGTGGCTCAATTTAATACTTTTTACCTTGGATTATTTTTTACTTGACCAATATTGCAAGTTCAAATTTTATTTTCTACATGTATTTGCCTGGTATATCTTTGCCTCACCATTTATTTTAAACGAGTCAGTGTGTCTTACTTCTCTTTCCTCTGGAAAGATATTTGTAGATTTTATTTAGGATCTAATCTAAAGATACTTGTTCTTTTTACAGATGAATTTAAAAATCCCCATTCATTTTTGAAAGCTGTTTGTATTCCTTTTCTCAAGTCTTCATCACTCTCCCTCTCTCTGATGGTATTTCTTTTGTTTTCTACCTTTTGTTAGATGGAGTGAGTTTTCTTTCATTCCTACGTTTATAACTGGAAAGTGACAAAACTTGTTACCACTCCGTTAGTGGCCATGCTCATATCTTTGTACAAATGCTTAAATATGTATTTCTTGAATTTTAATCTCAGAAACTGAACACTGCTTATTATTGCTTCCCTCCATAAATGATGGAGAAATTAGCATATCTTCACTCCCTCCAGTCTTTCCAACTTTTTTAATTACTAGAATTTATCATAAACTCTGTCATAGTTTTAAAAAATAATTATAGCATTCACATTCCATTCAGAAAATATTTTTATCACAATTATTTAGATTCTGCAGGGCATGCAGAGAAAGCTGGTGTCTTGGAAAATTAAGGCTGAAAATTTTGTCTTGGAACAGTGGTTTTTTTAAAAAGTCTATATTTGCTGAAATTATTTTATCAAATCTCAGATGCTCCAAAATTGGGCACTTCCTATCTTATTTTATTATTCTATTTGAGACAGGGCCTCCCTCTGTCACCCAGACTGGAGTGCAGTGGTACAACCATTGTTCACCATAGCCTTGACCTCCTGGGCTTAAGTAATCCTCCTGCCTCAGCCTCCTGAATAGCTGAGACTCACAGGCACATGCCACCATGCCTGGCTAATTTTAAATTTTTTGTAGAGATGGGGTCTCCCCATATTGCCCAGGTTGATCTTGAAGTCCCGGGCTCCAGCAGTTCTCCCGCTCTGGCCTCCCACAGTGCTGGGATTCAGGCGTGGGCCATCGCTCCTGGCCCTGTGTTAAGTTACTCTTATTTCTGGTCTTTGGAGTTTGCTTGCTCATTTATAAGTGAGGCTGCTACACTGGTGAAGTTCAAATAGAGACTAATGCTATTAATCTTGGGTTTCCCATCACGGCTGTTGACCAGCCACTGCAGCAATCCTTCAAGGCCACTGCATTGCTCTCCTCCCAGTGTCTCCCCTCTACCCTCGAGCTTGCTCCCCAGTGTCTGAGAGAGCCTGTGCTGCTCTATAAACTGAGGTCACGGACAAAGCTTTCTCCTCTGGTGCCACGCTCATGCCTAAGAAACCTTGCTCCAAGATGGGGAAAGCCTTTCTGCCCTCCCAGGACCCACTTATTTCCAGCCCTCATGCATCAATATGGGGAATTCCTACTGGGGTTGGTCAGAATTCCATCCAATGCTAATTTCTCGAGAAAGTCTGACACCACCATGTCCCTTCCATTTGGCTAAATTTTATTGATTCCAGAAAAATGTTAATTTTTCAAATGAGTAGTGTGTGGTACCATTCTAATTTCCACTCTGTGCTAATAATTCCTTTTCCTCTGGTTTTGCTTTCTTTTTATTCTTTGCAGGAAGAGGGAGGGAAAAATTTTGGTAAACTTCTGGAAAGTATGGTGTATTAGCCAATTGTTACTTGTAACATCAACCCCAAGACTCAAATATATTTTGTAATTATATTTATGCTGAATACACATATATTTAGAACCACAGTGATTTTTGGATTTAAAAAAACACATACTGCAA